>NC_000002.12:25237028-25388543 GCF_000001405.40 Homo sapiens
AACAACAGAAACCTGGATAACAGCGGGAAGGGCCCCAGCTGCACGACTCCCCTCCCTCCCCCAGCAGCCACTAGTTCACAGGGTAAGAGCCCCTTCCCCAAATCACGCACACACGTCATAACTCTCTTCAAACTCCCCGCAAACACACGAACACACACTGCAGCCATGCAAAGACACAAATCCACCAAGCGTTAATCCTTAAAGGTAAATTCAAAAGTGGTCTCAAATTGTGAACAGGCAGATAACACCTAGCAGAAAAAGAAAAAAAAAGCACAGCTATCTTTACATCAGTTAGTCTAAAATACACTGAGCTTTAAGCGTCCCACTGCGAAGCAAGCTTTGGGGGTGACAATGTTCTGTATCTTGATTTGTGGTGATTGTTACACGGGTGTGTCCACTGGATGAAATTAATCAAACCGCAAGCCTTAAATGTACTGCTTTAAAAGACTAAATTCTGGGCCAGGCGCAGTGGCTCATGCCTGCAATCCCAGCCCTTTGGAAGGCTGAGGCAGGCGGGTCACCTGAGGTCAGGAGTTTGAGTCCATCCTGATCAACATGGTGAAACCCGGTCTCTACTAATATAAAAATTAGCCAGACGTGGTGGCAGGTGCCTGTAATCCCAGCTACTCGGGAGGCTGAGGCAGGAGAATCGCTTGAACCTGGGAGGCGGAGGCTGCAGTGAGCCAGGATGGCACCACTGCACTCCAGCCTGGGCGACAGAGCAAGACTCTGTCTCCAAAAAAAAAAAAAACCAGACTTAAATTCTGCAGTTCCCTAAAGACCAAAAATTCTGTGACATTAAATATGTCACTTCTCAGGGTGCAGGCCACATAACTGACTGGCTGTCCCCTTCAACGCTGACCTTTTCTGACATGTAAGGATATTTAAGGAAGGCTTCCCTGAGCACTGGCTCCAGGATCTCAGTGTGGGAACCACGGGGCCTGCAGTCAAATCAGGTGCTCGACAGATGTCCCCGACTCTTTATGCGTGCACTGCCCAGTCGGCCCTGCATGCAGGACCTCTGCTCCTCCTAGAAGCTCAGAGTTTAGTATTTTAGAGTTGAAAGAAGCAGGCGAGAAATCCCACAGGACCAAGGTCTGTCGGGAGACACTGAGTGGTTCCATGAAAATACTGGACCTCATTAGCCCATCCATTTCCCAATATGCACATGTATCTTGGGAACTCTCGGGGGACAGTTTCAGGCCAGCTGCCCCAATGCCCCATCTCCTTCCCCTCAACAAGCCCTCGATAGCAACTCTACCAAACATGTATGAGATGGGGAAGGTCCTACAACCTCATGGGAATAGCAAGGAGGGAGATTATTTGACCGAGGCCAGGTGAAATGATGTCTCCTAGTTATACCAAGTATACCAAGCAGCCCACCATGGAGGTTTAACACCCATGACTCAGAACACTCTGGAAAACGCTTCCCTCCACAATGGACAGGGACTGAGCGGCTCTCAGCATGCTTTTGAATTGCCAACTCTGGACAATTTATTTCGCCTAAAAAGCCTTTTTATAATGCCAGTTTTATAACTGATGAAATGAATTTTCTTCATTCCTAGATATTAAAATCTTTATCTGTGTAACCTAACTGAAGAAAATCTCTCCAAAAAAGGACCTGAAGCCAACAAAGTGTGTGATTAGTAAAATTAAGTTAAGCAGAACCCTGAACTTGCATGCAGCCGCTGCAAGATTCCCTCTCCTGGAACAGGCTGTGGCCACAACTCCCCTTCCCAGCCCCAAAGCCATGCCCCATGGCTTTGCCTCAGGAGAATCTAAGAACCAGAGGGCTCGGGACACATCACCAATGTCAGAAAACCAACTACCTAACTCAGCAGCACAGGACTCTTCTTTGGTATAAAGAGAGTACTTTTAAAGGTCCTGCTTTAAGACCACTAGTTGTTGGTTTCAGACGAGTATTTTCTATACCCTGACTCCTCTTCCTCCTCAAGGAAAAGGAAATAAGGAACATGGCAGAGCAGCTAGTCATTCAGCAGAGGCCGGCCAGAGAGGGCCCGGCTCAGGGGCTTCCCCACTATGGGTCATCCCACCTGCAGTCCCAGCCCACAGCCCCCCAGGCCCAGGAGCTTTCACCAACCTGTTCATACCGGGAAGGTTACCCCAGAAGTAGCGGGCCCTGTGTGCAGCTGACACTTCTTTGGCATCAATCATCACAGGGTTGGACTACAAAACAGGAGACGGTTTGAAGATGAGCCAAGGAGGAGCATGAAACAGCGCCGGCATGCTGCTGGGGTCGAGCCTTAAAGCCTCAAAGCCTCTTACTTCTCTCTCAGGAGCCACACACTGGGCTAGCCTGCAGCCTCCAGGAGAAGCTGGAATTACACCTAGCCACATTCCACAAGCTGTCACTGGAACGTTCTAGATCAGCATTGTCCAAATGAACTTCTGCGATGGTGGGTTGTCCTCTACACTGTTCAATTCAGTGGCCACTAGCCCACTAGTACAGGTGGCTATTTTGTACCTAAAATGAGGCCAATGTGATTGAGGAGCTGAATGGTTAATGTTAATGTAAACAGCCGCATGTGGCTGGTGGCTACCATATTGCACAGTGCTGCTCTAGACTACCCAGAGGCTGGGAGAGCCCAGGCTCCAGCGAGTATGGGTGTGTTTACCATGAGCCCTGATTAGAACTCAAACAGACGCCTGCTCACACTTACAGTCAGAACACCAGCTCACAGTGTGACCCACCCCAAGACTCAGGAGCACAGGTGGGCTCAAGCTCCCAGAAGGGCCACTCCAAGCACGCCTCTGGCAGCAGAAGCCCTCTGCACGCGGCTCAGACTTGGCTCAGGGTTAAACGGGGACTCACATGATAAGGAATGAAAACTGAGCTAAGTCTTGTTTTCTTCTCAGGTGCCTGTCATGGTACCAGGGAGTGAGGATAGGCCCTTCTTGCTCAGGGAAAACTGATTTTGTCCTCTCAAAGATCCTGGTGTGTAACAAACACCATACAGAATACCCAACCCCAGGAGTCTGGCACCCCACCTGATTGAGTGACAGGTCCTTCAACCCCGGAGGTCCACACCCACAATGCCACCTCTTAGAGTGAGACCACTGGTTCTTTCCGAGGTAGGCCTCTAACCCTGCTTCCTCCCTTTCTATCCAGGAAGCCTGGGGCTTCCCAAACAGGCCCCTTGCAAAGCAGAAGTCACCAGTCCCCAGCTCCACAATGCAGATGAGACAGGATGAAGCAGCAGTCCAAGGTAGAAGCCATTAGTGAGCTGGCCAAACCAAGGTTGCTGGCTATACCTCGAGAAATCGCGAGATGTCCCTCTTGTCACTAACGCCCATGGCCACCACATTCTCAAAGAGCCAGAAGAAGGGGCGATCATCTCCCTCCTTGGGCCGCGCATCATGCAGGAGGCGGTAGAACTCAAAGAAGAGCCGGCCAGTGCCCTCTGAGAGGTCGGAAGAGAAAGCCATCAGCTGGGGCTGTCTGCATAGGACAGTGGTGTGGCTCGGGCACGGGGAGGGCACGGGAAGACAGGGTCATCGGGAATAGCTGTCCCAGGGCAGAAATATCCAAGGAGGAAGCCTATGTGCGGAAGCACCAGCTGAGAAGGTGGAGGGGACAGGATGGTACCTACCGTAGAGGCCCTTGCGAGCAGGGTTGACGATGGAGAGGTCATTGCAGGGACTGCCCCCAATCACCAGATCGAATGGGCCCCACTCCTGGATCTGGGAGGATAAAGGCAACGTGATGGGCCTGCTGTCCAGGGACAGAGGCAGACAGGAAGAAAGAGAAATTATCTGTGAACTTGGCAAAGAAGTCCTTTGACACGAAAGAGAGGAGACCCAGCTGCTCTGCAGGCTCACGACCCTAGCTGCAACCATGGACAAGTCCTAAACAAGAACGGGACCAAGTTGGATCATTTCTTAGGCCAATGGGGAAACTAGTATCACCCAGGCAGGCAACACAGCCACCCACTGGGAAGGTGACCCAAGTGGACGGCTGAGTCTGAAGGTACCTGGCATGCTGAGTGTCTTAGGCAGGGTGTCTGGGCCATGTGAATGTCCTCCAGTTGCCCTTCAGGACTCCAGAGGGCCTGTAGTCATGCTTAAGGGAAGACCCTGCCTGAGCCTCCCAGATATGGAAGCTGATAAAGCTATTTGCCAAAAGTATTGGGAGGACAGGAACCTCTCTCTAATCCAAAGAGCTCTACTAGAAACTGTCCAGAAACCAGCCCAGGGAGTAGCCAGAGCTCAAGTAGGCACTATGTTGCCCAAGCTAGTCTTAAACCCCTGGCCTCAAGGGATTCTCCTACCTTGGCCTCCCAAAGTGCTGGCATTATAGGCATGAGCCACCATGCCTAGCCCAAATTCCCATTTCAATTTGCCCTTTACCCTCTCAAGACAGAGGACAAATGGAAGATAAGGAGAAAAAGAGGCTGGGGCAAAGGGTGAAGAGAAAGAGGGCAAATGAACAAAATGAAAGGAGGCAAGGGCTGCCTCCAGGTGCTGAGTGTGCAGGGAGGGGAAGACGGGCTGCGCCCCACAGCATGGACATACATGCTTCTGTGTGACGCTGCGGACGTCCCCGACGTACATGATCTTCCCCTGGTGCCGCACCATGCCCACCGTGATGGAGTCCTCACACACCTCCGAGGCAATGTAGCGGTCCACCTGAATGCCCAAGTCCTTCAGCACCAGGAGCCCTGCACCAGCCAGCAGACAGCACCGTTACTTGGAGCCATCTCCCTGGCACCCTGGTCTCGGCAGGTGAGCCTGCTGGCCAACAGGACCCATGGGGTCAGCTGTAGGCCCAAGTCCTATCTTTTCCCTGAAGATGCCTTAAATCCTTTCTGGATCCAACTGGAGTATCCATAGTAAGGACATCGAGGCTCTGTCTCATGCCTCGTTTGGCCTATCTGGAAGGCAGTCAAAGCTGCAGAAAACTGACCGGAGAGTACATGGTTCCAGGATCCAGGAAGAATCACAGCTGACTTTTTGGGGGCCTTTTCTTTGTTGTTGTCCGTCTACAACTTGGTCCTTCCATACCCTCTTATCACCTCCTGCTACAATTCTACCCCACCCTTTGACTCAACCTGAATGTTCCCTGCTCCACAAAGGTTTCATAAATGCCCTGCCCCACCCAGTAGCCCCTGGAATCACCGCCCCCTCCGCTATGAGTCCCCAGCTCTGTGCATCCCTTGCCTCCCCATCAGAGCAGTTTCCATTCCTCACTCAGCCCTCTCGTGGATTGCAAAGGCTCTTCCAGACAGAGGAGGCCTCCTTCATTGTGCTTCCCCCGAGCTAACCACACAGATTTCCTTACCACGATCCCTCCCCCTCCAGAAATGCTAGCCGAACTGAGGCAAGGAAACAATCAGAGCAGATCCCGAGAGGGTCTCGGGAGAAACAGGGTACGGCACTGTTTCTGCTGCTCCCAACATGTCCCCCAGCCAAGGAGCTTTTACAGCCTCCTGGGGTGTGACATGATTTAAGAAGGCCTCAAGGTTCCAGTCTGGGATACAAAAAGCTGTAAATGAACTTCTCTAGGTTTACAGAAGAGCAGCATGGAGCTGAGAACAGAAGACAAACATCTGGCCGGGGAAGCCATCCCCTCCGCCTCACCCTCTAACCAGGGTCCCTGGGTTGAGACTGCCTATCTCCCTCTGGCCAAAGACATGAATTCTAAGAAGAGCTATTCCTTTCTTAAAAGCCGGGAAGCCCTTGGCTGGGGGGGCAGGGCAGAGGGGTGGATGTGTCTTCACAATCTCCTAGGACGCTTTCTGCAGTGTCCAGAGTCACATGAAGCAAACAATGCCTGCAGGGTGACCCAGCATCTCCTAAAGGTTTTCCTAAGGAGGGAATGGTTCAAGTATATATTCTATCAGGATGCTTGTCACAGCACTACTTATAATAATAATAAAAAAAATAGTAAATGACCTAATAGGGGTTCGTTAAATAAATTACGGCACTTTGACTCAATGGAACCTTACGCAACACTTACAAATAAAGAATGTAGCTTTGGCCGGGTCTGGTGGCTCATGCCTGTAATCCCAGCACTTTGGGAGGCCGAGGTGGGCGGATCACAAGGTCAAGAGATCGAGACCAGCCTGGCCAACACGGTGAAACACCGTCTCTACTAAAAACACAAAAATTAGCTGGGCGTGGTGGTGGGTGCCTGCAGTCCCAGCTACTCGGGAGGCTGAGGCAGGAGAACTGCTTGAACCCAGGAGGCAGAGGTTGCAGTGGGCCAAGATGGCACCACTGCACTCCAGCCTGGGCAACAGACTCCGTCTCAAAAAAAAAAAAAAAAATGTAGCTTTATATCGCTTGACATGAAAAAGCAATCATAATATAATAAATGCAAGGCAAGTTACAAAACCGTGTGCATTCACTACCCACTTAATTTATCTATCTATGGATGTATGGTTATATAAACACAAACGCACAGAAAAAAATCTGAAAAGGACATATGCCAAAATATTAATAAAAGGATAATGGGTGATTTAAATAAGTCTTCTTTAGACTATCTTGTGTATAATCAAAACACAACAGAACTGTGTATGTTTCTGTCTTGCTGAATCTGTCCTTTGAGGCTCTGTGAAATCTCTGTGAATCTGACTAATGATCACTCGGCCTCTGTGGCTGAATCTTCCTTACTAAGGAAGCGCCCAGCAGGCAGGCTGCTTTACCACCTGTTTTACTTTTTTATTTTTGGTCAAATCTAAGTCCACGGACTGCATACGTTTCCACTTCACACACAAGCTTCCCCTTTGGGATAATATTTTAACAGCTGTGAAGCTAACCATCATTTCGTTTTGCCAGAGTTGCCCACACACCTGGCTCCCCCATCCTGGGACAAGGCGGCCAGCACCTCTTGGGCCTGCACCCCTCACCTGTAGCGATTCCATCAAAGAGAGACAGCACCCGGATGGGCTTCCTCTTCTCAGCTGGGACAGGTGGGTAAACCTTTGGAGGGTCCTAAGCAGTGAGCACAACAGGTCAGATGCAGGCCCAGCGGTGTCCCAAGCTCCCACCCAGCGCTGGCCCTCCAGCCAGGCTCCTAGACCCACACACCCTGCGCACAGCTCAGGCCCCACAACCAAGGCTCAGCCAAGGGAGCTCGAGACCGCGCCCCAGGCCCAGCACTCACAAATTCCTGGTCGTGGTTATTAGCGAAGAACATCTGGAGCCGGGAGGGCCAGTCCTCTCGCCGCCGCAGCAGCCCGTAGGTACCCTTGTGCCCGCACATGTAGCAGTTCCAGGGGTCTTCCTTAATGGCTGCCTGGGCAGCCCCCGGCCCCACCAAGAGGTCCACACACTCCACGCAAAAGCACCTGGAAGGAGACCCAGTGAGCAGAGGAGACTCTCAGCCCTGGTCCGGGGAGGCCAAGGTGTGCTACCTGGAATGGAAAGACCGGGTCTGGAGCATGGCTAGGGGGTGGAGGGTCTGTGGGGAAGGGAGAGGAGGGGAGGCGGTGGGCGGCGGGAGCCTGGGGCCCAGCTAAGGAGACCACTGGAGGCCACAACAGCCTCACCTGCAGCAGTTGTTGTTTCCGCACATGAGCACCTCACGGCCCCCACAGCAGATGGTGCAGTAGGACTGGTAGCCGTCGTCGTCGTACTGGTACGCACACTCCAGAAAGCAGTTCTAGACAGCAGCGGGAAGGGTCAGAAACCACCAGGACGGGTCCCAGGACGGCCAGGACGAAGGGAGGCTCCACACCTGGCCTCACAGAGCCTAAGCCCTGAAGACATGACCCCGCCACCACCTTAGCCAGGGTCAGGCCCCAGCTGCAGATCTGGGAAGGGGAAACCTCATCTGCCTGTGCACCGCCATGGACAGAACCAAAGAGCAGCCTGAGAACAAGGCCAGGGAGGGGGCTGCACCACCACCTTGGGCCTTCCTGCAGCCCTGGGTTTTTCTCCTGGGCTCCCCAGGGCACGGCAACCCTGCTACACTCTGCCTGAGCTTGTCCCCGCTGCTCTGCTCCCATCCCCACATCTGGGGACTAAAATGGGGCTTGAGAGAGGTAAAGAATCTTTCAGAGGAGAAAAATGAGAGCAAGTCAAAAGCTTGAAACCCAAGGGCCCGTGTCATCAGGACTCTGCTTCCAGAGGAAGCTCTGAAGTCTACATCACACGCACACCGGGTGTCACCCTGTACATGCCCAGAAGCGGTGGACACAGTCAGCCAGAAGGCCGAAGGGCCGGCCTCAACGGCACCTCTCCTGGGTGGGTGTGCTCCTACCTTGCAGTTTTGGCACATTCCTCCAACGAAGAGGGGGTGTTCCAGGGTAACATTGAGGCTCCCACAGGAGATGCAGATGTCTGGAAAGCAGAGGGAGGGGATGGGGTGAGTACCACCGAAGGGCCTCTCCCTCCCCGGGCCGGAGCCCAGCACCAGACCAGCCACAAAAAAGGGGTGTGCCAGAGCGGCAGCCAGAAAAGAGTCCAGGGTGCCCCACGGAAAAGGGAGGCACTGTGACCCCAGTCTCGAACGCCATCATCTCAGAGCACCAATGCCACCATCCACAAACAGGGATGGAGTGACAGCAGGACAGAAACCTGCTCATGAGAAGCAGCCCTGGTTCCAGGTTACTCAGGAGGGATTCCCGGGGTAATCCTCAAGTCCTGACCCCTGCCCCAATCCTCCCAGGCCGAGGGTCCTGAGCCAGATCCACCAGCACCAGGCTGAGGGCGACAGCCCCAGGATGAGAGAGGTGAGCAAAGGTGAAAGGCTGAAAGGGGACCTGTAGGTGAGTTCAGTCACACCCAAGAGGGGCTGCCCTTCTGTGGCCACTGGGGAGTCCCACACCCTGAAGACCAGCCCACGCCATTGACAGGAGAGCAGAATCATGGCACCAGAAAGACAGACAGTGCACGAAGCACGGTGAAGGTGGTGTGACACGCAGGACGTGGCCCCTGGTCCCATGTCATTCAAACCTTCCTAAGTGCCTCTGCTACTCTGCCCCATGCCACACTAGGAGTGCCAGAGTTCCCAGGCAACAAACTTACCCTCAATGTTCCGGCACTTCTGCCGCACCTCGTACACCAGCCGCTCTGCAAGGGGAGGAGAGCTGGCGTCAGAGGAGGCCGCGCCTGCTCCTCGGATGCAGGCCTCCTGGTGCCACCCTCTCCAGAAGCAGGCCAACTACCTCTTGTGCGCTCATCAATAATCTCCTTGACCTTGGGCTTCTCCGCTGTGCTCTTCCGGGGCTTTTTGGCTGGTGGAGGTGGTGCGTAGGCAGCTGCCTCAGGTTCCACCCACATGTCCGTGTACACTTCTTTGTAGGGATTCTTCTCTTCTGGAGGAGGAAAGCAGGTGCCAAGGTCAGTTACAGGCTGACAGGAAACTCCAGCCCCTTCCCCCACCCTCCTTACAGTGGGGTGCGGCCTGGTCTCCAACTTGTTCCCACCTCCCAACTCTACGGTTCTAGCCAACCAACAGAGAGCAGGTCATTCAAGTCCTGACCCCAGGGCAAGAGAGACCCCGGCTGTTCCCACTGGGCCCCTCTGTGGAGGCCTTGGCAGCCCTCCCTAAGCATGGCTTTCCCAGCCCTGGTGTGGATCTGCCTGGCGGGCAGGGGTCCCAGAAAGCTGGGTGCCCTCATTTACCTTCTGGTGGCTCCAGGCCCTTAGGGCCAGAAGGCTGGAAGCCCCCCAGGGCCCATTCAATCATGGGCTTGTTCTGCACCTCCACGGCCTTGGCAGTGTCACTCTCATCGCTGTCGTGGCACACCGGGAACAGCTTCCCCGCGCGGCTGCTGGCCACCTGGAGGGTGACACGCCAGGGTTGGGGTTGTCAGGACAGGCTGGAAGGCAGATGGGTCAGGCTCAAGGCCAGACTCTGAGTAGTGAGGGTGGCACAGGCAAGATGGGGAGGAACCGCTGAGGAGGAGCGGGATGTGCATACGGGCGAGCGAGGTGGAGAGAAAGGAGTCGCTGCCTCCTGGGCCTCCGTTCTGCTCAAGCCCGACCTGCACTCCAACTTCCAGGCCTCCTAGTGCTCTAGGCTCCTCCTCCGAGCTCCCAGCAGGGACACTCACCTGCAGGACCTCGTAGATGGCTTTGCGGTACATGGGCTGCTTGTTGTACGTGGCCTGGTGGAACGCACTGCAAAACGAGCTCAGCGGCATCAGCTTCTCAACACACACCTGGGGGGACAAGCCAGGCCTTGTTTGCCGAGGCTTACACTTGCAAGCACCCACCCCATGCCTTGCAACTGGCAGGGGCTGGGAGCCTCGAGAGTCAGTCTCAGCCCTGGAGGGGACCAGATACAGTGATAAATAATTACCCGATGCAAAGAGGAGTCCAGACCAAGAGTAGGGAAGTACCTGAGTGCAGGTGGAAAGGAATTCTAGTGAATAGGTTCCTGGAAGGCTAAAACTGGGCCAGCATCCTAGCTCTCTGAGCCACAGGTGCAACCTAATTATCCCTACAGCTTCTTCCACCCACCACAGGCAGAGTAGGGGTGAGCAGAACCCACTTCCATCACCCCAATTCCAGACTGCCCCCAGCCAAAACCACAGGCCCTGGGATCAAGAACCTTCCCCCACCCCAGGCTACTGCCAAACCCCACAACTTACCACTGAGAATTTGCCGTCTCCGAACCACATGACCCAGCGGGTGCCTTCAGCTGCTCGGCTCCGGCCCGTCATCCACCAAGACACAATGCGGCCTGGCCACCAGGAGAAGCCCCGCAGTTTCCCCCACACCAGCTCCCCAATGCCAAAGCCCCGGCCGTCCTGGAGCCCCAAGGAGCAGAAATCATTACACAGTGGTCACGAGGCCCTGCCACCCTGATCCCCCCATGGCAACCCCAGCCCTGGGCATCTGGGGGGCAGGACAGCCAGGAGGGAGCTCCATCTGAATGAGGCAAGACAGAGCAAAATCGGGGAGACGAAGAGGCCCGGGGTCAGGTGGAGAGAGCGAGCGGCCCGTGGGAGATGGAGAGAGGAGAGCAGGACGGGAGGAGCTGGCAGTGGAAGGCCCCCGGAAAGAGCTGGCCACGGCTGGTGAAGAAGCCGCTCACCTCGTACTCTGGCTCGTCATCGCCTGCTTTGGTGGCATTCTTGTCCCCAGCATCGGACCCCACGGGCTCAGGCGTGGTAGCCACAGTGGGGGATGCGGGGTCAGTGGGCTGCTGCACAGCAGGAGGGCTGGCCTCCTCCACCTTCTGAGACTCCCCGGGCCCCTGGTTTTCTTCCACAGCATTCATTCCTGCAATGACCTTGGCTTTCTTCTCAGCCTGGGGAAACAAAAAACAAAAAGTCACCTTGACCTCTCCAGGAATTAGCAAGGCCACCTGACACTCAAGGGGACCATGTTTGTCAAAACCCGGAACAGTGACAGAAGGTCAAGGGCTGGAGAGAGCCAACCAGCTGCCTTGCCGTGAAAAATGGAAAGACTTGAAGTAGAGAGGTGAACTCAAGTCACACAATTCCAGCCTTCTTTTCTGCCTTTTAGGAAACCTTCCTCCCAGATCTAATCTTCCTCAATCTCATCAGCATATCGGTTGCCTACCCTATGATACGGAAATGTTATTTATTTATTTTTTTTTTTGGAGACAGAGTCACTCTTTCACCCAGGCTGGAGTGCAGTGGCGCAATCTCGGCTCACTGCAACCTCCACCTCCCAGGTTCAAGCGATTCGCCTGTCTCAGCCTCCCGAGTAGCTGGGATTACAGGCATGTACCACCACACCTGGCTAATTTTTGTATTTTTAGTAGAGATGGGGTTTCGCCATATTGACCAGGCTGGTCTCTAACTCCTGACCTCAGGTGATTTGCCCGCCTCAGCCTCCCAAAGTGCTGGGATTACAGGCATGAGCCACTGTGTCTAGCCTACGTTAATGTTTTTTTTTTAATTTTATTATTATTATACTTTAAGTTTTAGGGTACATGTGCACAACGTGCAGGTTTGTTACATATGTATTCATGTGCCATGTTGGTGTGCTGCACCCATTAACTTGTCATTTAGCATTATACCGTATATCTCCTAATGCTATCCCTCCCCCTACCTATGGAGATGTTAATTCTATCCAAATATTAATCAGGCACTATTGTTTAGACACAGATATTGGTTCCACCCTCTCCTATCTTCTTAATCAAGACTAGGATCTTCAGCCAGGCATGTGCCTGTAATCCCAGTTACTGAGCAGGGAGGATCACTTGAGCCCAGGAGTTCAAGACCAGCCTGGGCAACATAGCAAGACCCTGTCACCAAAAATTTAAAAAGCAAGGGGGACCCTCTCTTCTTCTCCACAATTCCCCTGGGCAATCAATCCTTCCTATTCCTGGTTTCCAGGCCACAATTCTAGTTTTGTGATGTCTGCTGACGAAGAAATCACTGCTCTGGGTTTAAAGAGCCCATCTCCCCCCAGCACATGCTCAAACACCATAGGAAGCTCCCCAAGAGCCTGTCTGTTCCCATGCTCAGACGCCATGCTGGAGTTCTTATGGATCACACCCAGTGTGTATTGTTACCAGATTCGACCCCTTCTATGTGCACCCTTCAGATCCATAAATACATGTATTCATTCAGTTATTTACTGAGCAGGCACTATAGACCAGGCGTGCTCTCTGCCATCCCACCAACAAATTAATAAGCCAAACCCCAGTTATTCTCCCATTGCACAGCCTCCATCCTTTCACCGTATCACACTCGTCTTTCAGGCTACGATCCACGCGCCCATTCCTTCTCACAACCCGCTCCAGGATCCCTACAAAGGAGAATGAAATCCTTGATACTTAGCTCTGAGAACCATTAGCCTTTTACTGAATCTAGGAAACACGGCCCTCTGACTTCAAGGCTTTGCACCCATTTCCACCATACCAGATTTAGAGGGGAGAAAACCCCATTTTCTACATGCCTTTCAAAAGAGCTCCCCCATGGGCCTAGAGCTGCGAATGCAAACCCATCCTCAAGGGTAAAGAGGATGAGCAAGCAACCTGGAGTATGAAGAAGAGCTCTAATCTGAAGTTGCAGCCTCTACATTCCTGTCGGAGCCTCACAACCAGCAGCTGACTTTGGAGCAGTCCTTTCTAGGAGTTGCTCCAACATAAAAAGGCACCTGAACGGAAGGATTTCTGGAAAGCTTTTCTGACCTGTTTAAAAATCTGGTGTATATATGGACCAATGATTCCCAGGACTCTCCCAAAGCCTGTCAATGGACCCCCCAGATCCAAGGGTCCCAGGTTAAGAACCTTTGTTTGAAGCTCAGTGGTCCAATGTATTGTCTTACAGATTCATTTAATTTCACTGAGTCTTCAAGTCTTTGCCTCCAAGCCACAGACCAATCTGTTTCTTATGGCGATTCCGAAAAACACTGAAGATGTTAAGTCCTAGTTCTTCCTCTGACTCAACAAATTCTAAAACAGGATAATGCATCCTTTGCCCCCAACCCCCAAACAGCTGGGAAAATGAGCTCATGGATGGCGGAATGAGCTCACGGATCGGACTGCGGGGGTGGAAGAATGTGGAGTAATTGCTCATCGCTCCCTAGCCCCACTCTCACCTGGCCAGAACTCTGCCCTCCCCTTCCTACTATCAATTAGCCATCGCCTCCTCCCCTACGAGAAGGTGCACTGAAGTGTGGACCCCGCTATGGGGGAGGGTGCCTCCCTTGCTGGGATCCTCAGCTGCGTCAGCTACCCTCGCAGAGGAGCCCACACCACGCCGCTGCTCCTCGCCCACCACGCCTTCTCAAGCTTCAGGCATGGGTGGCTGACCTAGGGTGATGCCTCGGATGATCCAAAGACCCCGTTTCCAGGCGTGGCGAGGCCCCTGAGCCAGTACGAGGTGTGCAGGTAGCAGTGGGCGGGAAGGGGAAAGGACCCGCTATCAGTTCCTGGCAGCGGCAGCAGCAGGTGGGCTGGGCTCCTCCTCTGGCTCCCCAGGTCTAGGAGTCGTGCCTGACACCACCCTCAGCACTCCCCCACGGCCCCTTTGTCTCTCAGCCCCTTCACAGCGAGTTCCTGAACATTCTTCTTCCCCCACAACTTCCCCCAGCTTGTCAGATGCCGCGCTGCGAGCTGTTCAGCATCCCCAGCCCACTTGGTGCAGAACACGCACCCGGCCCGGTAAGGGCTGGCGGAGGAGGAAGGGGCCTCCATCAGGACTGGGGCAGTGGGGTGGGGGAAGGAAGAAGCGGGGGGGGGGGTGGGTGAGCAGCAGGGGGCCTGACGAAAGGGGAAGGGGCAGCCGGAGCTGGGTGGGGGAGGGGCCTCACTAGACTAGGCCTGTCTGGGGCGTAGGGAAAGCACCCCTTTCCCTCTGCACTCCTGCCTTCCTCCCCAGGCAAACAATAAGAGAAACAGGGGTGAACTCGAGGCTCTCGCATTTGGGCTGCGGGCTGCTCACCCCCAGGGGGGCGGAGAAACCAGGCGGCATTCAAGAGACACCACACTATTCCCCACTCCCTGCTGGCTCACGGAAGCCCCTGGGCCTGGAGTCCGTCCAGACTGGGAAAGCCACCGGGAACTCCGGTGACTACTGCCTCCGGTCCAGTCCCATCTCCTCAGGCAGTTGTCCCGCCTCCACCTCCCCCTGCGACTGCAGCGCTTCCCATTCCAAAGGTCAGAGGTCTGAGCGCCACCGCCCCCAAGCCCATGCGGCCTTGGGCTACCCTGGTGTCACAGGCCGGCCCCCTGTCAGGGTCGCACCGTGCTCTCCCGCCCCCCACCACTTCTTTCTGGCGGCCTGCCTGGAGGCTTCCAGGAACTCGCAGGAGAGGAAGCTGTCCCTCTTAAGAGGCCGCAAGCTGGCAGGGCCCTGAGGACCGCGTGGTCCCCCAGCCAGAAACGCAGGTCACCAGGGAAGTGCCAGGCACCCATCTGCCAGCTCAGCTGAAGCTGCCTCCAACCCAACTCCTGGGCCACCAGCTCCGCGTGCCCCAGCCTGCAGTTACCACTGCCCGGGCTCCCGGCCGGCTGCTCTTCCTGTCCCCCGAGGGCGCCAGGTGCCACTGGAGCCCTCGAGGAGTGGGGCCTTGGGGCTCGTGGGCAGGAAGGCGGCGGGCCAGCACTAAGTCAGCATCTCCAGAACTCGGGCCAGGCCGGGACGCCGCGGCTGCTGCGGGCCGGGGAGGCATACTTCACTCTTTTCAAACCCGGAGGGCTGCGGAGATCCTCCCACCGGCCCTGCCGCCTCCCCGCCCCCGGTCTCCCCGGGGCTCCGTCCAGGAACCTACCCATAAGGCCAGGTGCAGCCCCTCTGCAGTCGCGCTCAGGTGTGAGCCGCGGCCCTGAAGCTCTGGAAGTAGCTGCCCGTCTTGGGGGAGGGGAAGGGGGCGATGGGGCTGGGGGCGGAGGGGGCCACTGGGAGGGGAGGGGGGCGGCGGGGGGGAGGGAGGGAACATTTTCTTTGTCTAGGACTCCAGGTCACGTGGGCCCCGCTGGAGGGCCTGGTTGGCTGCGAGCGGCCCGGGGAGGGGGCCGGCGCTCCGACGCTGGCGCTGGGCCAGCCCCTCTTCTCCGGTCCGAGGGGCGCGGGGCCGGGGGGCGAGGCCGTTCCCCGCCCGTTCCCAGGGCCCGCCCAGGCCGGGCTGCAGGGAGCGCCCCGCCTTCGGGAAGACCGCCTGGCCCCTCCCCCAGCTCTGGAAGAGATTAGCGCGGGGCCGGGGGGCCGGGAGGGGAGGGAAGGGGCTGCTCCCGAGCCGCCTGCCCGGAGGGAGCCGGGGGTCCGGGCGAAAGCAAGCCGGAGCTTTCGGACGGCCTGGGAGAGCCGGGAGAAAGTTGTGAAAAGTGAGTTTCTCTGAAGCACAACCAAAAAAAAAAAAAGAAAAAGCTTACAGATAGGAGGCCCAGGAAGCTGTAGGAAAACTCAGCACACAGACGGAGAGTGACAGCAGGCGCGCGCAGGCATTGGGAGCGCTCCAGATCGGGGATTGTTTGGGGGGTCTCCCGCCTCCACACTACAGGTGAATAGAGAAGCGGGGGGGCCTCAAAAAGCGCGGCGTGAGGAGGTCAGGCTTCGAGTCCCAGGGCCCCTGCGTCACTCTGGGCCTTCCCTGGATTTCTCATTTTCCTGTTTGCAAGGTTGGTCGCGGCGAGGGCGCTCCTTCAGAAAGTTCAGCAATTCCTTCATTCCCAGGCTCAAACATCTGCAGATCGAGAAGACCTGACTCCTCTCCTGGGGCCTCCAGGTGCGGCCTCCAGGTGCAGCCTCCGCCATTTCAAGCTTCCTCCTCCTGAACAAAGGCACCTACCCCCAAGGCAGACGCAGTCCCCACCCACAGCCCTCCATTACGTTGGCTGTAGGATCAGATAAAGAAATAGACCCTGTTGGCTCTGCCCTCGAGGGGTTGAAGATTCCACTAGACTTGGAGAAATATGAAAGGATCACTGTAAAACAAACATATGTAAAGGTAACTATGCCACAAATACCAAGTAGAAAAAAATGGGCGGCATGGATGACAAAAGAGGTCAGAGGTCAGTTCCAGGTGAGCCGACTGGGCCTGGAGGCTGGATCGGACTTGGAATGAGGTGAGATGGGTAGGATGAGCAAGAGCTGCCGGGCTGGGGAGGGAGGAGACCCTCGCCCACCTCCACCCTCCCAGTACACGACAGGGCAAGGTAATGGCAAGCCTTCAGGTGCGTCCTTGGGTATATTCTGTAGCAGGGAAGAATAACCGCAGGTTTTCTGACAAGATGAATGAGTATTTTGGAAAAATCAGCCTAGTTGCCGTTGGCAAGATGAATTAGAAGGAAGAACTGAGGAAATGGAGGAAAATGCACCCCACAGCAGAGGGCTATTTGGGCAGCGGCACTTGTTAGAAGATCTGGACTTGGCCGAGCGCGGTGGCTCACGCCTATAATCCCAGCACTTTGGAAGGCTGAGGCAGGCGGATCATGAGGTCAGGAGTTTGAGACCGGCCTGACTAACATGGTGAAACCTTGTCTCTACTAAAAATACAAAAATTAGCCAGGCGTGGTGGCGTGCGCCAGTAATCCCAGCTACTTGGGAGGCTGAGGCAAGAGAATCGCTTCAACTTAGGAGGCGGATGTTGCAGTGAGCCGAGATCATGCCACTGCACTCCAGCCTGGGCAACAGAGCGAGACTCCGTCTCAAAAAAAAAAAAAAAAAAGATCTGGACTTCAGTTCTGTTTCCACCACCATGACCTTAAACAAGTCACTTAACCCCCAAGAAATCTGTTGTCTCATCTGCAAAACGAGTGATGACATCAGCCCTCTTTGGCCATGGAACGCCACCATCTCCTAATGACAATGAGACAATTCTCTAGGTGCCTGGCTCCCAGCCACAGTCACCTGGGACATACAGGTGCTGGTATAATGAAGTCACGAGATGTGCAGTGAGGGAGCCCCCCCTCCCCCTGAGGGCCATCAGAGCAAGCAAACCCTGAAGAGCAAGGACCCCAAACCAGAGAGCCTTCTACCTAGAAGACTTGGGTACAGACTCCCCCCCAACCCTGAGACCCAGAATCCATACAGCTAGGAAAAGAAGCTATTCGAAAAACAAGCAAACAAACAAAAACACAGGCCCTCTTCTGTTCCAACCCATCTTTCAACCCAACTAAGGTATTTGCCTGGTACACATTTCCAGGGGCTCCCCAAGCAGAAGTGAGAAGCCCAGAATTTGTCCCTCTTGCCTGCTCCCAACCTTTAGGGAATGCAGCATGACTTGCTTCGCTGCTTCTCTCACTGATACCTCTTCTGCATCCATGCCGGTCAACGGGCCTGAGAACTTACTTCAGGCCTCCTCTCAAAAGAAGTTTCTGGTTCTGGCTTGGTGGCCTTTTGCAGACACTGTCTCATGTACGATACCCGCTCTTCCATTATAATGCGGCTAAACACCTTAGACTCCACATTCTGTGGTCTTGGGACATAAGACTGCAATGATGCCGTGCGTGCAGCAAGGACTCAAGGTGTCAGAACTGGCCAGAACTGTTCACTTTCTCTTGGCCACATATTAGGTAGCTGTTCCCTCCGGCCGTCAAACTTCCTTATTCTCATCCTTTAACATTAAAGTCAAATCCTACCTCTTCCACACAACTTCCCAACAAGCAAAAGGAAGCCTAGGCTCAAAGGTGTCCCCTTAACAACCCAGAGCATCTTTCTTCCCTCTCCTGTAACTATGCAGACAGGAAACACTGCCTTTTCTAGACTGAGTCGCTTAAACAGAGATGTGTCTTCTTTGTGGTCAATGCACAGTCAGACCCCAAAGCAGAAGAGACCCCAAGATCTAGAGCAGGGGTGATTTTAGTAAAAGGAAAAATCCCCTTACTAAAATGGGGCAATCTTCAAGGATCCTCAGGTCACACATGCTCTTGAGCTTCCAAAGTAAACCTCCCTGGTAGTTTACCAGATAGGTCTTTTGTTTGAGTTAAAGATAGCCAAACTCAAATAGCAGCACCATGTAAAATAAGCCATGTTCTTGGATTTGTTATAAAAGTATGTTGAAAGGAGGAACTCCTGGATGAGAAGAAAATATGCTGGATGTCAAGAGCCTAAAAGAGGTGCTGGAAAGGAAGTATCCAGTGTGGTCCAATGGAGAGAGTGACCTGAGAATGAGAGCACAGTTCCTGTTTGGTGGGCAGACAACAGTGATCCCATAGGCCTCCTAAGCCCGACAAAAATACCTCTGAAGGACACCTCTCTGCCCTGATCCTGTATTCATCAAGCAAACTTCCAATTTTAATTACATTTTCCAATGACTCTGATACCAGTAAGTTGCCAGAAAACAGCAGGACAAGCATTATGATTTGTGTGGCAAGGACATGTCCTGTTATCAATTGGTAAATCTAACATTCTGGGGTGCATCATTCTCCTGGGTCATTGAAGAGTCATGATCATAAGTATGTTAATGTGACTTTCCAGCCTCAAAGAATTGAGACGAGACACTAGCCCATCATGATACCTCTCCAAAGAGCAGCAACGCCCGGAGCTCATGCCTGACGTTTTACTCAAAGTTCAGTGCTCTGTGGCATGCTCTGTCATAAAATCCAGTTCCGGCAGGATGAGGGTAGATGATGTTGCTGTCATCCCACCAGGACATTTACCATGCGAGTCTCTCTACTCTGAATCAGAGAAGCCATGGTCCCTATAAAGCCATCTGCAAAGCAACACATATGAAGTCACTGCACACGTATTTCCACCCCACACGTATTCCCACCAACCCCAAGACCAGGGAGACCTGATCCAGACAAAAAGAGAGGTCAGGATGGATGTCTGTTCTGAACCCGTCCTCCTCCCACCTACAGCTCAAAAGCCTCAATGCCAATCAGTCAACACTCTGCGTGACATTCTAGGCCCCCACGAATCTGGAGGCCTCCGTGTGATATCATGAAGCCCACGCTTTGCCCGCCCACTTGCTATTCCTCATGCTGTTCCTTCTTCCTGGAAGGTTCCTCCCCTTCAACTTTCACCACCTAAACCCTGCATATCCTTCTACACCAGTCCGCCAGTGACCTCCACCATGAAAGTTCCTCTAGCCTTGCACTGTCCAGGATGGCAGTTACTGGCTGCATGTGTCTATTTGAATTAAATACAAATTAAAATTTAGTTCCTCAGTCACACTGGCTACATTCCAAGTGTCCAAGAGCCACATGTGGCTGGGGGCTACTGAATTCGATGGCACTGATTTTAAAACATTGCCATCATCCCAGAAAGTTCTTTTGACAGTGCTGCCCTGGCCCCTCACCCTTATCCTCCCCTTCTGTCCCTTATCTTTCCCTTCTGTCCCTTATCTTTCCCTTCTGTCCCTTATCTTCTACCCCATCCCTGCCACACTCCCCTTGTACTTTGTAAGCCTCTGTTAGGACCTGCCAGTCTTTGCCTTGTGCGAAGGTGATTGTGTACTCATCTTTCTCCTTTACAAGATTAAATATTCCTAGAGGGCAGGGACTGGACCTCATTCACCTTCGTATGGAAGCAGTGTGGGCTAGAGCATCTTGCCCATAGTAGAGGATTAAAAATGAACTGAATGCAGTGTTGTCTCAGGAACCTTATCCCAAATCCACTGCCCAAGTTCCAAGTTGGGGAATGGATCCATTTCATAGCAGGAATTCTAATCGTTGCTACGAGGTCCCAGTCTACCAAAAGAGGCTGGGAATCTTTGTTTTCCTATTCCCTTGCAATCCATATGGAGGTTGCAAGCAAATGACCAGGACTGGGCTGCTGGCAGTGAAGCTAAAAATAGCCATGAAGCCAACAGCGTGGAGTTAGCAGGACTTGTTGCTAAGGAGACCAGTCGCAGAGAGAGCAACTAAGCAGGGGGAAGGTGTCAGATGTGCACCCGGAGAGCAGAGGGGTCCAAAGGCTCGCACCTAGCGGTGTTCTGCCTTCTGGCAGCTCCTGGCTGATGCTCTAAGTGGGGCAGACATTCCCCCTGTCCCTCAGTAACCCATCTCCATGGAAACCACCAGGACTGGGGTGAAGTACCAGCCCCTGGAAGGGAGGCCTCTGCTTGGAGCTTGTTGTTATGGCAACATCCCCCCTTCCTGTCATTCTCTCTCTCCTGGCTTCTCTGGAGGGAGAGAAGTGGGGGTCTGGTCTTGGCTTAGCCGGCATGACCAGGAAACACCCGCTTCCTGACAAGACTAGGCTGTAAGGGGCTCTCCAGAAGCTCCTGGAAGCCCGGAGAGGCCAGTCAATCCTTAGCACAGGCAGAACTTCCTTTCTTTTCACGAGGGCCTTGCTAATCACCTCGCCAGGAGAACCCCAGATTCACTTTGGTTTAATTGCATCTGGATCACCCAAGGAGGGCTTTAAAAATACAGATTCTTGGGGTCTACCTACGTAGATCAGCGGGCTTAAGGTGGGGCCCAGGAATCTATTAAAACCTCCCTGGGTAATTCTAATACTAGCCAGGTGTGGAAACACGGAGACCCTGGCTGTGTCTGTTACAAATGAGAACACTGAGGCCTAGAGAGGCCCGAGCCCACCTGAAAGGTCAGAGCAATTCACTGGAGAGAAGTGGTCTGGAGAGAGGAGGGGAAGCAGAAGGAGATGGAGGTCAGCTCCCTCGGGGCATGCGTCCCAGGTGAGCCCTCCTCTGGGCCTTTCCCACCTGCTCCCTGATCAAGCACAACCTGTTGCTGTCTGATGCTGGACTGTGATTTCAAACCAAAGCCTCTGACAAGCTGCCCCCTGTGGTAGAATGTGGAAGGTAGGGGGCTAGGAATCTGGTTCTCAGAGTAGCCCAGGCAGATGATTTGGGCTAAAAGAGAAATCCATCCTCCTGAAGAAAAGCAAAAGGGTCACCATGGCAACTGCAGTGTGCTGCCTGGTTGGGCTCTATGCCATCACCCCAAACCTCGGCCCTGCCCCAGAACCTCCTCCCTGAGTCTGGGGAGAGGAGCGGCATTTGGGCAAATGCTGTCGGGCAGGGGCACCCCCCTAACCCCTGCACTGAGCAGTCTGGTTTTAGAACCTGTAAGCGAATTGTGCTTTATCCTGGGAGCCTGCCTGAAGCTCACCTAAACACCGGATCAGGTCAGTCAGTCCTTAGCACCTGCAGTAGGTAGGCTGGGGGGAAGGGAAGCAAAGAGGTGCAAGAGCTAGTAGACATGATGGGGCTCTAGGCCTCTGTTACTCACAGCCTAATTGTGTACCCAAGACCCACCACACATGAAACCACAGCCCTCATTCAAGACAGCATGCAATTAGATGGTAAATTATGTGGTAGGGATGCTTTCTACATGTGCCGAAGGAACTCAGAGGCAGCTGGGATCAGTCAAGGCAGGAAGGCTCAAGGGAAGATGAAAGAGCGGAAACTAGGAATGGGCACAACCTCCCAGGTTTTTCAGACAGGAATGGCCAGATCTAGGGGGCATCTGTAACTGCATGAGCTTCCTGGCAGATGAATGGCAGGAATGAAAAGCACAAGCACAGCCTTAGGGTATCTGTTAGGGAGGGGGAGTGGTAAGGGGCTTTTTGCACTGACACTCTAGATGAATTCTTCTAAATCAAGGAGGAAGATGCAGGATGGGGGAGCCCAACTGCTGGAAAGGAAAGCCCAACTTCCCTCTTGCTGATACCCTCACCTCCCCTTCTCTCCCCACCTCTATCCCAGAGCCCCTGGCTCCCTCGTTCTCTCCCAGCCAACCCTACACTTCCCTAATGGTGTATGCTGGGAAGTCCCAGCCCAATAGATGCGCCATCAGGCTCTGGAGCTTTGGTGGCTGCCTTCCCTTTCCCTATAGCCTGCCCCATAAGGGGAAGGCTTCTCCACAAACCCAGCTCTTCCTTCCTGCTCACTTCCACCCGCTATCCTGGAACTGCTGGGTCTGCCCAGCTCTACCAGTGACGGAGTCTGGGGCCAGGGAGCAGAGATGCCAGGGCAGGGGTGGGAGAGTAGCAGTACCCCACTGATACCGGATCTCAGGTGCCCCTTACCAGGAAATTCAACTGGGAGGGGATGCCAGGTCTTTCACTGAGCAGGGCGCTGAGCAGGGTGTTTTACAGCTGATGACAAGACCTTAAATAACCCCTAGCTTCTTTGGGCCTTGGTTTCCTAACTAGCCTAATAGAATCACACGTATCTGCTAAATATTACAGATAAAATCAAAGGAAGCCAGGAGGGACTCACATTTGAGAGGTGAGGGACTTCATGACAAGTTTGCTTTAGGGACGTGTCGATGCTGTCACTTTGCTTTAGAAACTGGACCCTGGAGAGAAGTGTTAAGTTTATACTAAGGGGGGTGTGGCCAAAAGGAACCTGGTAAACCTTAACAGCCAGGCCTGTTTTCCCCACCCTTCCCCCACCCCTTCTCCAGGCTCCAGGGGTCAAAGGGAGGGGCCTAAAGGAGCCGCATTCAGATTCAGGCATGCAGACCCTCTCAAGTTTCAGGGTCCAAAGAGAAGACTCCAGAGGAGCCCAGCAGACAGGCACTGCGGTAACTATTGCTGAAAACAGCAGGACCCCTGCCATCTCCATCCGAAAGGAAACATTTAAATTCCTGTACCAAGTCCTTTCCGGTCTTTCCCCCCCAACCCTGTTTGGAAACTGTTCCCTAGGTCTGCCCGCCTTACAGTCCCTACTTCTTCCTTTGCTTGTTACCACAATCAGACTGGCAACCCAAGCCCTATCAATTACCCGGAGAGCTTGGGAAACCACCCTTGCTGGGTACATCACTAAATTCCCAACGTGATTAACCTGGCCCAGGTTTAAACAAAATGTGTAGAGAGACCCCCGCCGCCAATGCAGGCGATACAATAAATGCATCTACCAATACATCTGTGTGGGAATCTCATCTGTGCCAGATTTGGTTTACCTCTAATCATCTGAGGCTTGGTGGTTTTCAAGCTGTAGTAAGCCCCAGAATCATCTGGGGGCTGGCTAGAAAATCAAACCTACAAGTACTGTCCCAGAGCTTCTGCTCCAGGAGTGTGCCTTTTTAATGCACTGCCCAGGTGGTTCTGGTGAGGTAACACACAATCTCACCCTTTGAGAAACATTGAAGTCTAAGAGCATCTTTGGTATATATAAGCAAGCTCACTCAATTTTTGTTTTTTTTTGCCCCACAAAGCTGCCTTTCCAACAGCATCTAGCGTCAAATATACAGGAGGCTGAGCTGTTATTCCTGTTTTTGTTCAATCCATCTGAGTTGCAAGTGAAAATAATATTTATACTGCCCACCATTCATGGACTAAAGAGGAACGGGGAAGAGCTGTCGCATCTGTAGAGTTGCTACTGAAGAATGGCAAGTCAGAAAAATGGTAACATTCACACGCACACTTGCACACACACACACTCACCATGCAGTTGGCCTGGGAGCACACACACACACTCACCATGCAGTTGGCCTGGGAGGGAGTGCGGACTGAGAGGTGAAGGATGCGGGGTGGTCGCAGGGAGTTGATGGAAGTCAGAAAGGGCTCCACAGAGGGCATGGTGGCACGTGCCTGTAATTCCAGCTACTTGGGAAGCTGAGGTGGGAGGATCACTTGAGCCCAAGAGTCCAAGGCTGCAGTGAGCTACGATCAGAGCATGCCACTGCACTCCAGCCTGGGCGACAGAGCAAGACTCTGTCTCAAAAATTAACGTAGGCCCGGCATGATGGCTCACGCCTGTAATTCCAGCACTTTGGGAGGCCGAGGTGGGCAGATCACTTGAGGTCAGGAGTTCGAGACCAGCCTGGCCAACATGGTGAAAACCCATCTCTACTAAAAATACAAAAATTAGCCAGAGGTGGCCAAGTGTGGTGGCTCATGCCTGTAATCCCAGCACTTTGGGAGGCTGAGGTGGGTGGATCATCTGAGCTCAGGAGTTTGAGACTAGCCTGGCCAACATGGTGAAACCCCGTCTCCACTAAAATTACAAAAATTAGCCAGGCATGGTGGCGTGTGCCTATAGTCCCAGCTACTCAGGAGGCTGAGGCAGGAGAATCACTTGAACCCGGGAGGCAGAGGTTGCAGTGAGCCAAGACCATGCCACTGCACTCCAGCCTGGGTGACAGAGTGAGACTCTGTCTCAAAAAAAAAAAAAAAAAAAAAAGCCAGAGGTGGGGGCGGACACCTATAATCCCAGCTACTTGGGAGGCTGAGGTGGGAGGATTGCTTGAACCCAGGAGGCGGAGGTTGAAGTGAGCCGAGATCACACCTCTGCACTCCAGCCTGGGTGACAGAGTGAGACTCCGTCTCAAAAAAAAAAAAAAACCATAAATAAATAAAATAAATAGAAATGTATATATTGTAAAAGTAAAGGGCTGCATAGATAGGTGAAAGGGGGGTTCAGTAGTCCTCTAACTGGTTCAGGAAATCCTCCTGGACGTTGACCCCCGGCCACCTGCTCCCAGAAGTCCCATGTCCTTGTCCCTGCCCCTCCCTATCCTGGTCCTCTCCTAGCAGGTCTGCTTTCTGTGCTTTCTCTCCCTGCCCTCCTGCCTGTGCGTCCCCTCCATGAGGACCACCCTGGAATCTGACTAAACCTGTCCCCTGGGGTCGGGCGCAGTGGCTCACACCTGTAATCCCAGCACTTTGGGAGGCCAAGGTGGGCAGATCATGAGATCAGGAGATCAAGACCATCCTGGCCAACATGGTGAAACCCCACCCCGTCTCTACTAAAAATACAAAAATTAGCTGGGCATGGCAGCACATGCCTGTAACCCCACCTACTCGGGAGGCTGAGGCAGGAGAATCACTTGAACCAGGGAGTCAAGGGTTGCAGTGAGCTGAGATTGTGCCACTGCACTCCAGCCTGGCGAGAGAGCAAGACTCCGTCTCAAAAAAAAAAAAAAAAAAAACCTGTCCCCATTGACACCAATCTGCTGGCTTCTCAAAAGCAGCTTATCCAAACCCTAGCTCAAAAATCCACCCCCTCCTAAGAGAAAATATCTTAAAGACCTTGCGGTAGACAGAGAATTCTTAGAGATAACACACACAAACACTAACCAATAAAGGAAAAAAATGGGTAAGTTGGACTTTATTAAAAACTTCTGCTCATCAGAATACATAAGAAAATGAAAAGTTCACTGTATCATCCTGCCTCAAACCTGCTCTTCCTCCAAGATTCTCTACCTCAGATAATGAACCCTATCCCCAGCCCAGCTCCCAATACCAGACAAATTTTTCCCTCCCCTCCAACCAGGACCAGTTCTAGCAATTCCTTCAAGTTTGCCTCTCATTACCTCAACCCTCAGTCAAGGCCAAATGTAATGTTCTCCTACCTGGTCCTGCTTCTAAACTTCCTCTCTCTGGGGAATACTTATTGTCCTGCCAGGTTATCTTCCTAAACTATGTGTCCAATTCTCTTCCACCCCTGCTCTCCACTGGACAACGAAGCCTAAATTTCTCACTATGGCAGGAAGACCACTGAGGATGTGACCATCTTGCTTTCTAGTTCTGTCTCTTCTTGCCCATCCTCCCTAACCCCTGCACCCTAGTTACCAGATCTCTTACTACTCCCTAAACAACCCAGAAGTCATGCCTCCTTCTCTTTGCCCTCAGTAGTTCCTTTTCCTGAAATGCCTTCCTCCTCTTTAACACTTTTTTATTTGTTTGTTTATAATTTATTGAGATAGTATCTCACTCTGTCACCCAGGCTGGAGTCCAGTGGCATGATCATGGCTCACTGCAGCCTCGACCTCAGCCTCCTGAGTAGCTGGGACCATTGGTGCACAACACCATGCCCAGCTAATTAAATATTTTTTTTGTAGAGAGTGGGTCTGGCCATGTTGCCCAGGCTGCTCTTGAACTCCTGGGCTCAAGCAATCCTCCCACTTTGGTCTCCCAAAGTGCTGGGATTACACTGCACCCAGCCTCTTTTGCACTTACTGAAATTCTCAAAGGATGCCTGCCTCCTCCAGGAAGCTTTCCTGGAGTCCTCCAGAAGCTGCTCTCATGCTCCTTTATGCTTCATGTTGGGCTCTTTACACAGGAGCACAGAGCAAGCCCCACGCTCTGACTGCCACTGAGGCTTGTTGGAAACATTCCTGCCTCCTCCACTTGACAATGTGTGCCTCTGGGACAGGGACTATATCCAATTGGTCTCCCCCTACCCCGCCACTAGCATAGTATCATGTTTATTTACCAAGTACTGAATTACTAAGCAATCAGTAGTAAGTACTGAGGTCCATTAACTCCTTTAACGAGTGTACTGGCCTCTTAATAAAGCGGCAGAGGGCTCTGGCAGACCACCCCATATGTGAACATCCCACGGCCTCCCTGACAAGCAGTCTGGTTTTTAAAGCAGAGAGAACATTGGCTATTATATTTTCTGCTTTGTCAGCCCCATAGACAGTGCTATGGGAAAAACTTTGAGGCACTCTAGACTCCAAACTCCTAGAGGATTTCTTTGACCACCTCCCTTAGGACCCCACTCCATGCCCTTCCCCCACTGTCCCTGCCAAGCAGTCCTGTTCAGGTCAATGGCGGTACACTGCCTCTCCCTAGGCACCGCCTTCCCTGAGGCCCTTAGGCAGGGCTAGGGAGTTGCTTGCACAGTCCTTCCCTTAGTATTTCTAAAACAACCCTGCCCTGGCTACAGCACAATTCATTCATTTACCTACCAACCTCTCACAGGGGAGGGTAGAATTCTGACTTGCCTTTAAATTTGCTTCCTTAGTGTCTAGAAAATGTTGGAACATAGTAGACACCCAGACACACAAGGTGGTATCTTAAAGACTGAGCACACAGTATCTGCTCAGTAAAGGCTGGACAACCCTTTGGTTTTTTTTTTTTTTTTTTTTTTTTTGAGACAAGGTCTCGCTCTGTCGCCCAGGCTGGAGTGCAGTGGCGCAATCTTGACTCACTGCAACCTCCACCACCCTGGCTCAAACGATTCTTGTGCCTCAGCCTTCCAAGTAGCTGGGATTACAGGCATGTGCCACCACGCCCAGCTAATTTTTGTATTTTCAGTAGAGACGGCGTTTCACCATGTTAGCCAGACTGGTCTCGAATTCCTGGCCTCAAGAGATCCACCCGCCTTGGCCTCCCACAGTGTTGGGATTACAGGCGTGAGCCACTGTGCTGGGCCAAAGGTTTTTTTTTTAAAAAGAGTTTTTTGTTTTGTTTTTTTTTGTGAGACAGAGTCTGGCTCTGTCGCCCAGGCTGGAGTGCAGTGGTGCGATCTCGGCTCACTGCAAGCTCCGCCTCCCGGGTTCACGCCATTCTCCTGCCTCAGCCTCCCGAGTAGCTGGGAGGTGCCTGCCACCACGCCCGGCTAATTTTTTGTATTTTTAGTAGAGAGGGGGTTTCACCATGTTAGCCAGGATGGTCTCGATCTGCTGACCTCATGATACGCCTGCCTTCGCCTCCCAAAGTGCTGGGATTACAGGCGTGAGCCACCACCCCCGGCCAAAAAGAGTTTTTATAAGGATGCTTCACGTATGTGCCTTTAGAAGAGACGTATATGCGAGGTCTGAGAATTCACTCAAATATTTAATTTAGAATTTATGTACAAGGTAATCTAGGTAATAAAGAGAGTGCAGATCATGATTCCAGTCTCACCCCCCAACCTGCCGTGATGGAATTTTAGAATCTCTGGGGTCATCTCATCTATTTCTGTCGCATTATAAACCAGGAAACTAAAATGCCGAAAGCAGAAAGACCTCCTCACATCCATAGCTAAGGAGGGGCAGAAGCTGAGACGAGAAACCAGGCCTCCCAAATCTCATTCCAACATTTTCTTAATCCAGTTTCACAACATCATCCACATGGTCATGAAAAAACAGCAATTCAAGGGCAAGGGTTCAGGACCACATGAGTAGAGCAGGGAGGGGTGGTCGGGGAGGCTGAAAGGGACCTGAGCCTCCTGGCAAAGAGGCATGGGGAGCAGCCCCAACAACTGCAGGCCGGGGGCGGGAAGAGCATGCGGCAGGCTGGAAAGCCGGGCCAGCTCTCTCCCTCTCTTCTAAATGCATTCTTCAATTTCATGACAATTTCCAAGCCAGGAAACCAGGAAAACTGGGAGTGTAGGTTAGTCATTTGGGTACACAACAGAAGCAACACGAGATTTGGAGTCTAGTTTTGCCCATTGGGCCACTCCATCAGGATACCCATGTGGCCGCAACCTACTTACCTAGATAAATCTTAATTTTCTAATAGCAAAATACAGGTTAAAAAAATACTTCTGGCCGGGCGCGGTGGCTCATGCCTGTAATCCCAGCACTTTGGAGGCTGAGGCAGGTGGATCACCTGAGGTCAGGAGTTCAAGACCAGCCTGGCCAACATGGTGAAACCCCATCTCTCCTAAAAATACAAAAAATTAGCCGGGTGTGGTGGCAGGTGCCTGTAATCCTAGCTACTTGGGAGGCTGGGGCAGGAGAATCGCTTGAACCCAAGAGGCAGAGGTTGCAGTGAGCTGAGATCATGCCACTGCACTTCAGACTGGGTGACAGAGTAAGACTCCATCTCAAAAAAAAAAAAAAGACATTAAATGCAGATAATATGTTTTAGGATTGTGGTGAAAGCTAATGCTCCTGGCATAGTGCCTGATGTAAAGTAGGTGCTCAGTGAAGTTCAACACCCTTTCCCTGGTTCAGGCTTTGCTGTGGCCAGGAGTTGGCCCTGGGCCAGCAACTAGTCACCTACCCCACCCTGCCTCTTTTTTTCTCACCACTAAAAAGTAGGGGTTGTTCTAAGAGCTGTTCTCTCTGTGCCCCAGAAGTGAAGACTCTGGTGCGCAACCAACCCATCTACTTAAAGGACAATGGGGAGTCCCTCTGTGGCAACTTTAGTAGCCTATGGTAAAGGCCAGCCCTCGAAGTCACTACTGCTTACAGGCTGTCATGGGAGCCTCTAGAACTTGTTCAGCCTTGGGTAAAGTATACTTGCTGTGCCTACTCCAAACATCATCATCTCCTTCAAGGGTGATGTTATTTTTGAGGCCACGCTGCAAAAGGTCAGGTAGGGCAAATAAGTGAGGAATGTCTTCCAGTCCAAATGCTCTAAAACTGCTTCCCATACAGTTGGCTAATAATTTGTTTTGAGCCTTTACTGGTCTACTTTGCACTTCCATTTCTCCTGAACTAGACTAAAGCCCAGGAGATCACACCTTATTATCTCCTCCTTCCCATAGCCCCTAGCACAAGGCCCCTTTACTTAGTAGGTGCTGAGTGACTGCTTATTAAATGGAATATGACACAGCATGGGGGACCTTCTGGACATTCATGGCCTGCTCTCCTCAGGGCAGACAGGAAGCACAGTCTGTTGAGACTGCAGGGTTGTAAAGTCAGAGGAGGCAACATTTGCTAAGCTCATAGAAGCAGCAGCACAAATGGCCAATAAACATAGGAAAAGATGTTCAACCTTATTATCTGGGAAATGCCAATTAAAAGCATAACAAGATACTATTTTCCCACCCATTTGACTAGCAAAATATTGATGTTGGCAAAGGTCTTCTCATACCCTGTTCACAGAAGCATAAATTGGAGTGCCCTTTTTAGAGGGCAGTTTGGCAGATGTCATAAAATGTAAAATGCACATTCCCTTCAGCTAGGCCTTTTTCTTTCTAGGTATCTGTCTTAGAGAAACAGATGCACAAAGAGGTATGACTAAGGATGTTCACCGCTGCAATGCTAAACAGTAAAATATCATAAACAACATAAATGGCCACCAATAACAGAATGGCTAAATAAAACCATGGGAATCCACATGGTGGAATATAATAGTAATTACGTGGCTAGATTGCACAGACTTATTGGAAGTCAAAAACCAAGCTGTAAAATGAAACTACAGTGTGGTTCCATTTGTGTAAAAAGAACAGGAAAAAAAGAACCCCTGAAGCAAAATTATATATTTACACGCATACACACGGATAGGAAAAAATCATGACGTTACACCAAACTGATAGCATCAAGTATTTCTGGTGAAGGAATTAAATTTTCAGGCCAGGTGTGGTGGCTCATGCCTGTAATCCCAGTACTTTGGGAGGTGGAGGCAAAAGGACTGCTTGAGCCCAGGAGTTCAAAGCCAGCCTGGTCAACATAAGGAGACCCCCATCTCTACAAAAAATTTAAAAATTAGCCAAGTGTGGTGGCACATGCCTGTGGTCCCAGCTACTCAGGAGGCTTAGGTGGGAGGATCACCTGAGCCAAGAAGTTGAGGCTGCAGTGAGCCATGATCATGCCATTGTACTCCAGCCTGGCCAATGGAGCAGGACCCTGTCTCAAAATAAAATTTTGGGGTGGCAAGTTTGGGCGGACTTTTTCACAAGAATGTATTTGTGTAATACTTATGTAATTTAAAATACTTTCTAAAAAATTATAAAGTTCCTATTATATGCTAGCTCTGTGCTAGGAGCTTTAAATGTTGTGTGTTGTCCACACAACTCTGAGATAAGAATTGTTCATTCATTCAGCACACTTTCACCCTGCACCTCCCACATGCCAGCCCTGGGGGCAGGGGGTGCCCAGAATGCCTGTATTGAACGAGCTTAAATGCAGAAATGGGTAGAGGCAGAAAACAAGCTGGCGAGTGCTGCTGTCATGGAGATGCAGAGTACAGCCAAGTCCATCCACAGAGGAGGAACCTCAGCTGGGGTACAGGGTAAGTGATGCCTAAGGTCCCACACCCAGTAAGTGGGACCTTTCTTAAGGCAGTATTTGAACTTGCCTCCAAAGGTCGCAGTAAACAGCAGCCAACCCTTAAGGTCCATGAAGGCTCTGCTATCTGCTGGGCAGCCCTGGGCGGAGGGAGTGGGTTGTATCTCAGTGTGGCGAGGGAAGGGAGGAGAGACTATGATGTTCCAGTCACAGATGTTTCATTATCACTATTCAATATTATTAAGCATCTAATAAGTATAAGGATGCATGAGTCAAGGGTCCCTACCTTCAGGTCGGAAGCAGGAAAGAGACCAGATCCTAGAACAATAGGACATGGTACCCGCTGCCTAGACGGAATTTAGAATCCGGCTGGGGTGAAGAGATTAATGAGCGAGTCATGCCATCAATGTGCTGTAACTGAGTCCTAAAACCACCAGCCGCGACACAAACTGGAGTGAGTGGCTTCCCAGGCGAGATGACCGCCCAGCTACTGACCCTGGGTCTCTGTGCTCATCTGCCTTGCAGAGCTACAGGGAGGGCTAATGAAGCGAGAGGCCCTTCCTAACCCTCAAGCCCTCCATCAGAGTGCATTTTGCTCTGAGAATTAGAAGGAAGAGGAGCTAAGGGAGTGCCTTCCTTTGGGAGGAGGAACTGCCCTACCCTGCCCTCCCCACAGCCCTGGCCAGCTCTGCCAGGCCAAGGAAGGTTCTCCTCAGCTCAGAAGCCTGGTGAGAATGGCAGGAATACAGGATGGAGGAGACTCTGGCCCCCCTTTACCCATGGAGGCTGTCCATACCAGTCCCCATGCCATCCTCCAGGTACACCTGTCAGCACCCCTGGAAAAACCACCTCGAAATCAAGTGTGTGGGCCCTTGTCATGGTGGAAATCTAAGATCTCATGTTCCCAGAGAAGTGGTCCCACATTCACCTACCTCCCAACTGCTTAGCCAGCCAGCAGGTATTCACTGGGCCTGTTCTCCCTGCCCATTGCATTAGGCCAGACAGAGGAAGATGTGATCAACACATAAGAAACAGTGAAAAATACCCTGATGAAATATGATTGAGTGCTAAGTAATATTAACCGTAAGGACAGTCTGAGTGCAGTGGCTCATGCCTGTAATTCCAGTACTTTGGGAGGCCAAAGCAGGCGGATCACTTGGGGTCAGGAGTTCGAGACCAGCCAGGTCAACATAGCAAAACCCCATCTCTACTTAAAATATAAAAATTAGCTGGGTGTGGTGGTGCGTGCCTGTAATTCCAGCTACTGGGAAGGCTGAGGCGAGGCACGAGAATCACTTGAACCTGGGAGGTGGAGGTTGCAGTGAGCCAAGAGACTGCACCACTGCACCCCAGCCTGGGAGACAGAGTGAAACTGTCTCAGACAAACAAACAAACCCCAGTGAGGGTTACAGGGATTCAGGGAAGGGAAGAGGTCATTGTGGACTGGAGAAATCTTGGAAACCTTCCTGGAGGAGGCAGCAGCTCTTGGCCTCAACCCTGAAGAATGGACTGGGGAAATCACAGCAGGAACGATGACAGGAAGGAAGGAAGGAGCATGGCAATGTCCCTTCCTAGGGGACACCCTTCTATTAGAGGACTGTAGTGAAAGTGGGGTGGGCTGATTGTGGAGGTCGAAGGGTTGAAGACTTGAGAAATAGCCAGAGGGTATCTGACATGATGGGGGAGACAATGGGGAGCCATTGGAGGTTCTATGGCAGGGTGTGATCATGATTAAAACAGAGCTTAGTCCTTACAGGACTAGTAAGCAGGTGAAGGAACAGCAACAGGAGATGGAACAGACAGAAGACAACAACTTCCTTCCCAGCTCCAGCAGGAATTCTCACTTCAGCCTCAGGGACTGCAGAAATGTCTCATTTTCCCCGTTCACTTATTTTCCATTTCTTTCATTTTGTGACATTCTGAGTCGTCTTAAATCTTGGGGGAGGGAAAGCCTGAAGGGGGTAATCTGGGAGAGGCTCACTCAGTAACTGTGGTCCAACAAGGGTGGGCAAGGAGAAGGAAGTTAAGCTGGGGAGTGCGTTCCCAGGGAAGAAGCCCCCCAGGTGGGGCACACAGCCTAGGGGAAGGGCTGGTGCAGCCTGGGGTCTGGTGGCAGCTCCTCCTTCTGGCCCCTGCCCCACCTTCCAGCCACATTTCCTAGCTGCTTTCTGCCCACACCCGCTGTGCACCACCACAACAAACTCCCATTCCTGAAAAGCCCAAGTGTCTTGTGCCTCGAGAGGTATGTGCCTGCTGTATTCCTCCCTCTGAAATGCCTTCCTCAGCCCTCCCCTAAATTCCAGTTCAACCGTCAAAAGCCAGAAGCCACCCCTGCTGATGCGTAGATGACCCCAGGCAGCATTCGTCTACGCCCCATTCAGGGCAGCTCTTTCTGCAGGTGCTATGAGCCCTCATCCTATCATGGGAAAACTAGGAATCCTCTATGCCTCTGGTAGTCCCAGTATCTTACATGTCACTCAGCTGTGGAGGCTTCTGGAAACCGGCTCAGTAAAGGTGCCCTGAATGAAAGGTTGCAGGCGTTGCATTCTGAGATTAGGAAGCGCTGGCTGGCCCTTCAAGTGATATTGCCTGGGGAACAGCTGGAGCTGGGTCCTGAAGGCTGGGTGGTTTGTCAGGAGGGGAGGTGCCTTTTTTGGGAGGAGGAGGGTACTTGGATCTAGGAGGGTGGGTAAGGGGTCAGTGGATCAACACTGGCAGAGGGTGGGGGGTGGAGATCTGGGGATGCAGCTAACAGAGGTTGCCGCTTGAGATCAGCTGAAGGAGGTGGGGAGGAACCTGCAGCGGCCTTGGGAAGGCCCAGGGAGGCAGTTTCAGAAGGGCTCAAATGTCAGAGAGCAAAATGAGACTGAGAAAAGAGGAGAAATGTCTGTGCTGTTGTTACACCACTTAGAAAACATTACAAAAAATTAGCCGGGTGTGGTGGTGCACGCCTGTAATCCCAGCTACTCGGGAGGCTGAGGCAGGAGAATCGCTTGAACCTGGGAGATGGAGGTTGCAGTGAGCTGAGATTGTGCCATTGCACTCCAGCTTGGGCAACAAGTGCGAAACTCCGTCTCAAAAAAACAAAAACCAAAAAACAAAAACAGGCCTGATAGGCCGGGTGCAGTGATTCATGCCTGTAATCCCAGCACTTCGGGAGGCCAAGGCGGGCAGATCACCTGAGGTCAAGAGTTCAAGACCAGCCTGACCAACATGGTGAAACCCCCATCTCTACTAAAAATACAAAAAGTTAGCCGGGTGTGTCAGCAGGTGCCTGTGATCCCAGCCACTCGGGAGGCTGAGGCAGGAGAATCGCCTCAACCCAGGAGGCGGAGGCTGCAGTGAGCCATTGCACTCCAGCCTTTGCACTCCAGCCTTGACAACAAGAGTGAAACTCCGTCTCAAAAACAGACAAACAAAGAAAACAGGCCTGATAGCAACAGCTACTACTCTTGAGTCTGAGGGCGACTTGGGAATCTTGAAAGCTACCTGTGTTTTCCCCATTCTTGATACCTGCATCTAGCCCCTTCCTAACCCCAGGCATAGCCCAGGAGGAGACTGTGTGACAGTCAGGGCCTGGGCCCCACATTGGAATAGGAAACGTAAATTCTAATTCCATTCTAGTCCTGTTCCCAATTCTTCATTGGGAGCTTGTGGCCAGTTATAAAACTCGGTAGCCCCAAGTCCCCTAGTCTGAAAATGAGATCAGTAGTTCTAAAACTTGTACTGGAATTCATGGATTCTTTAATTACAGCATAGGAATAAGGAATAATGTTATTAGCAGAAAATATATTTTGTTTGGAGATCTCCACATTGCAAGTCAAGTGTACTAAAGTCTTTTAAATTAAATCAACATTTTGGTTTTTCTAATAATGCCCACTGCTACCTTCATTGGTTGGGAGTGGGGATGCAAATGCCAAGGGTTGAAGACTTACTAGAAAATCTTTTGATAATTGCTGGAGCCAGGTGATGGCAATGGGAGGTCGTTACACTACTCTCTGCTTCTGCATATGTTAGAAAATGTTCATGAGTTTTACAAAGTCTGTTTTGTTTTTTTGAGACAGAGTCTCGTTCTGTCACCCAGGCTGGAGTGCAGTGGCACAATCTCGGCTCACTGCAACCTCTGCCTCCTGGGTTCCAGTGATTCTCCTGCCTCAGCCTCCCAAGTAGCTGGGATTACAGGTGCCCGCCACTATGCCCAGCTAATTTTTGTATTTGTAGTACAGATGGGGTTTCAACATGTTGGCCAGGCTGGTCTCAAACTCCTGACCTAAGGTGATCCACCCGCCTCGGCCTCCCGAAGTGCTGGGGTTACAGGTGTGAGCCACTGCGTCCAGCCCAAAAAAGTCTTTTTAAATTTTAGTAGAGACCTAAAATTGAGAAAATGTATCTATGATCTAATTTTTCCTGGGAGTTGAGGAAAGAACCCTTTTTTTCACTGTAACTGAGGGCAGGCCTCCATACTGCTTCTTCAAGGGAGCAGAGTTTGAGAATCATGGAATTTCTGAAAGTTCTTCCGGTTCCTAAAAGTCATAGTCTAAGCTTCTTGCCCCAGGGCTAAATGAGAACAGAAACACTTCGCTCACAGAACCAGGAGCTAAAAAGCAAAGCCCCTGTTTCTGGGTTGCGGGGAACCCAGGAGTGCAGCGACTGACTTGGAGAGAAGAGCCCCATTCCTGAATTTCCACCCCAAACACAACATTCCACGCACAGGGGTAAGTGCCTCTCCTCCCAGACCTCAGACAGGCTGCCCTTTCTCCGGGCTCTTCCGGGAAAGTAATTTCTGCCTTCCTGGATCCCAGAGGAAAAGAAAACAATCAAGCAGCCAGAACCCCCACCCTGTTCTGCACTTTCTCTTTTTTTTTTTTTTTTGAGACGGAATTTTGCTCTGTTGCCCAGGCTGGAGTGCAGTGGCTCAATCTCGCCTCACCGCAACCTCCACCTGTCGGGTTCAAGCAATTCTCCTGCCTCAGCCTCTTGAGTAGCTGGGACTATAGGCACGCACCACCACACCTGGCTAATTGTTTGTATTTTTTTTTTTTTTGAGACAGAGTTTTGCTCTTGTTGTCCAGGCTGGAGTGTAGTGGTGTGATCTCAGCTCACTGCAACCTCCGCCTCCCGGGTTCAAGTGATTCTCCTGCCTCAGTCTCCTGAGTAGCTGGGATTACAGGCGCCTGCCACCATGCCCGGCTAATTTTTTGTCTTTTTAGTAGAAACAGGGTTTTGCCATGTTGGGCAGACTGGTCTCGAACTCCTGACCTTAGGTGATCCGCCCGCCTCAGCCTCCCAAAGTGCTGGGATTACAGGCATGAGCCACCACGCCTGGCTAATTTTTTGTATTTTTGGTAGAGACAGGGGTTCACCAAGCTAGCCAGGCTGGTCTCGAACTCCTGACCTCCTTTCAGCTTCCCAAAGTGCTGAGATTACAGGTGTAAGCCACCGCGCCTGGCCTCTGTTCTGCACTTTCTCTAGAGAAAGCTCTCACACAAAGGCGAACAGACAAACAGGGCCGCCTTCCCCTGGAGGCCTGGGGTAAAGACGAAATGAGAGCTGAGTTCACGTGAAGTGCCCCACGTGGTGGCAGTTTCCTCTCTTTTCCTGTGCAGCTAGGTCACCACCCACTTCTCTTTGTACCCAGTTCTCTACTAATCAAACATACAAGACAGCTCAAAAATTGTGCGTGGCGAGTTGATTTCCCTCCTCAGTCTTTCAGCCTCCATTTTCTCACCTCTCTGCATGGCTGAAGCCCTCCACGGGCTGTTCCCACCTCCCCGACCCCCACAGAAGCTTCTCTATAAAGTCACCAGCTCCTTTCCAGGTTGTCCAACGCCATGGGCATGTCTCAGTGAATTCAGCTTTCCCTAGGGCTGGGCAGCCACCCTCTGGGAAAACCCCGTGCTTCCCCAGACACCGCTCTGTACTGCTTTCTCCCTCAGTCCCTACTGCCTGCCACTCCTCCTCTCCATGTGGCCCAGAAATGTCGGGGTTTTCATGGACATGTTCTGAGACTTCGTCTCTCCTCCTTCTCCCCTTGCTGAGCCCTTAAGTTCCCATGGATTTAAATGCCAGGGTTCTGCTCTCAAATCCCACCTCTGTCGCCCGTACTTCCCTACAGCCCAGACTCCAGGCACCTGGCATCTCACACGGAGCCCTCAATTCCCACCTGTCCCAAACTCATCCTCCCCTGGGTCTTCCCATCTGAGCAAATGGCACAACCATCACCAGGTGTTCAGGCCAGACCCCTGTGAGTCCTCCTTGAGTCCACCAGTTCCCCTCCCTGCCGGTCCATCAGCAAGCCCTAGCTATTCTAGCTCCAAAATACACCCCAAAGCTCTTCTCTGTCTCCACTGCTGCCTCTCAAATCCACATCACATCCTTCCTGTGCACAGAAACCTTCTATGGCTGCCCAGTATTGTCAGAAGTAAGCCAGCTTTTGGGCAGACTCTGCAGGTCTCCAACTGATGTGTGGAGCCCCGCCTGCCTCTCTGGCTGCATCTGGCCCTTTCTCCTTTGCCATTTCACCCTGGCATACAGTTTGCCAAACAAGTCAAGGCCTTGCTGGTGCTGTTTCCTCTGCCTAGAACACTCTCCCTGACCCCACTCCTCACAGAGCCAGCTCTTCGGTTCCTTCAGACCTTAACTGAAATGCCACCTCCTCCAAGAAGCCTGTCTTGACCACCCCAACTAAAGCAGGCCTCTGCTATCTTCTATTTCAGCCCCTTGTTTCTTTATGTTCTGCCTGTCTCCCCCATCAGAATGTCAACTCCATGAGAGCAGGAACCGTATACGCCCAGGGTCTAGTACACAGCCAGGTATACAGTAAGTGTTCAATAAGCATCTGCTGAAGGAGCAGATGAACCAGTCATCATGACTAGAGATTAAGAGGCTCCCAGTAAGTTCTAAGGGTTAGCCTGAAGGGGAAACTGAGGCCCATCACTTCTGGTTTTCCAGTTCTGCAGGACGGGCTGGGGCCCAGGCCAGAAGGCGCCTCACCTCCCTTTTCCAGCGTGCCAGCCACTCGTCCCGCTTGCGCTTGCTGATGTAGTAGGGGTCCCCCGCCTGGAAGGTGAGCCTCGGCATGGGCCGCTGACGGAGGCTGGACTCCCAGCCCAAGCCACCCCGCAGCCGGCCCCGGGAGCCCTAGGACAGAGAGACAGACATTAGGGCATTAGGGTGGGCACTGACGGACCCACCAAGGAGGCACTCGCCTCAAACACAATGTGGACACTGGCTCCTGGCCAGAGAGGGCACCCCTGGGAGTGCTGGGCAGGCCCCGTGTGGGCTGGAGGAGCGAGGGGCATGTGTGGCGGGGGTGGGGGGGCACATGGACACGGCCACAGGCCACGAAGGGAGGCGTCTGGCCTCTGGAGGGGGATGAGCCGGCTGCCTTGTTGGGGGACTTCCAACCTCCACGCCCACTTCCTCTCCTTCCCACAGAGGGATGTGTAAAGAAGGAGGAGGGGCCCACCCTCCGCCCCCTCACACACACTCGCCACCCGTGTCCTTCTTCTAGAATCAGGATCCACAGAGCCCCTGGGGGTGGAACACTTGCCTCCATTTTCATGGATTCGATGTTGGTCTCCTTCTGTTCTTTGCCTGTGGAGAGGGAAGAACAAAGGGACCAGTTCGTTGGTCGGCAGAATTACTGGAGTGGCTCACAGGCCCCACCTTGTGCCTGGGGTCCCTGCCACAGGGGATGGGGGTCCTCTGGCCGTTTAGCTGTTCATGTGTTAAATATGATGGCCCACCACATGCCAGGCACAGTGCTGACCCTGAGGACCCAGCAGGGCCTAGGGCAGAGAAAGAACTCGGGCAGGGGCAGGCCTTGAGGCCCAGGCAAGAGGGAACACGAGGAAATTCAGAGCTGGGTTTCTGGCCTGTCAACTCTGTCTCAGGTACACAGAAGGGGACTAAAAATACCCCCATTCTGCTGCTCCCAGTCAAGAGACCTCCTTCCCCAAAGGAGGAGCAGGAAGGCAGAGGGGGTGCGGAAGGAGGAGGGGGTGCAGGAAGGCCTGGGCCAGAGGGCCAGCCTGAGCGGCCTCCCTGGCCCTGCAAGGGAGTGTTTGCAGAGGCCTTCTGGGCATAAGGGCATGTACTGGGGGGCGGTGGGTACCGGGCCAACTGGAACAAGACCCCGGTGAAGCAACTTCCTCTCTACGAGACTCAGTTTCCTCATCTGGAAAATAAGGATGCTGGATGCGATTTCCAAGGTCCGCCTGCAGGTCCAAATATTATGATTCTATTACTAATCTCATTCTCCGTCCCTCCACTCCCTGCCCCATGCTCAGGCCCCTGAGCTCAGCCTTTAATCTAGAAGACTTGAGTTTGGATTCCAGTGTGACCTCTGTAACCTCTCCTGGCCTGTTTTCCCACTGAATCAAGGTAGATAAATGTTCTAAAATCATTAGGTTATGGTGAGCATTAAGTGCCTACTGTGGGGCCTGGCATACTGTAGGTGCTCAATACATGTTAGTGTGGTTCTCCTTCCCTAAGGATTCATTTCCTCTACTGGGCCCTGATTCCAGGTCCTGGCAGGGAAGTCTCAATTTCCCTATTGAGACCTTGCCCTCTCCCTGTGCTTCTCCAAGCCCCCAGCATGAGGGGAGCTGCGCTCCTCCCAGGCATCCCCCTGCACTCCCCACCAGGTCCTCACCACCCTTTCCAGGCACCCCTTCCAGGCCCAGCGCCCCGGAGGCTGCGGGGCTGGCTGATTCTGCCTCCCATAGCTTCTTGCTGGAGGTGGGGAAGTGAGCCCTCCTTCCACCTGGGCCCCTGAGCTTCTTTGTCGGGAACCGACAGCGTATCGGGCCTGGGCCCACTGCAGGAAGGTCACTAAGGCTGGCTCATGGTAGCTTGGGGTGGGGGGAGACAAAGAGCCTGAAACGGAAAAAACAGCCCCGACTTCATCTCCTGGCTGTGAAGCGGAAGCCAGCCACAGTGTTCACGCCGCGGGTCCTCAGCCCGGGAGGCCACTCCCTTCCCTCGTGACAGGGGGGTCCTGGACTGGTTTTGGGCTGACCCCGGGCGCCCAGGACAGCGCTGTCCTCCGTGGTTCTGTCCCTGGTGACAGCGACTCCCGCTAGCTAGGCCCGGGAGCACCAGGGGGAGGGAGGCAGGAGGGCCACCGTGGGTGCGGGCCTGGCGCCGGGCTCAGCCCGCGGGGGCCGCGTGGGCGGGGACGGGGCGTCTTGTCGCGGGCACCTGTGCGCGTGGGCGGGCGCGCACTCGCCAGCGCTTTGTTCGTGACCGGCCTTTTAAGGGCTGTCTCACCCATCTTGTCTGGCTCTGCCTCCCTGTTTCCTTTCCGTCCTCTCTCCCACCACAGCCAGCTCCCCACTTTTTTCGCGGGGGCCCCCTCCAGCCTGTCCGGGGCCTCCCCGTTCCCAGGCCAGGGCTTCCCCCTCCTCCCAGACCTCGTTGCTCTGCCCGGTGAGGCCCCGGGCTCCCAGCAGGGGGCGCCTGCTCGCGATCAGGTGGCGGCCTGGGGGCGGCCTGGCGGTCCCGGCGGACCCTGACGCGGCGGGGCTCCGGGGCTCGCGGTGGCGCTGGGAACCACTGTGTCAGCCCTGCGGCTAGGGCGGGGAGTGGAGGACCCCCGGGCTGGCTCTCGGACCTGGACTTGGGGCTTCCGACTGCATTTTCTCCCCAGCCCGCTTTAGAACCTCAAACGTTTCCTACTTGGGACCCTCCATGGCATTTAATTACTTTTACGGATAATTATTTATTCATTAGAATATTAGAAAATCAGGGTTGAAAGGCTTTGCAGAGATCATTGAGTACTTGTTCAGCACTTAAATTTTGCAGAAAGCTGAGACCTGGGGGGTGGAGTGACTTAAGGCCGGAGCTGAGATGAGCTTTTCAGGGGTCCTGATGCCCCGGCAAGCTCCCTCTCCGCTGCACCACTACTGTTATTTCTCAATGTGACCCCCTTCCTAATTTCCCAGCCCCCCAAGCTCCCCAAAACAGAACGATTTTTCCCTATGCAGTTTCCAACTGGCTTCTTTCTGGAATTTTCTCCCTGACAGACTCTGCGCATGCCCACTTGAGTGATCACACACACACACACACACACACACACACACACACACAGACACACACGCTTTCCAGCCTGGCCGGGCCGCCTCGGAATGCGGCACTTGTCGTGAGTCAGGGAGGGTCAGCTGCTCTCTCAGTACGGCCTATGCAGCCCAACTGCTCCTGGCCCAGGCCCAGGGTCACCGCCAGGGCCAGGTGGTTGTGACCTTCCAGTGTGGCCCTGACAGGCCCGAACATGACCCTAGTGCATCTCAGGACTTGGGGGCAGGGGAGGCCAGGGTGCTTCTAACACTCGCCTTCGAGTCTGAGCTATACTCAGCCAGAGGCCACCCAAGTTCTCTTTAAAATGAACTCAAATCTCCATGACCAGGCTGTAGCCAGGTTTACCTCAGAGGGCAGTCACTGGCCTGAAAAGGGGCCCTATGCTCAGAGTAGAGAGGGGTTTTGTGCTGACCCTAATCCGGTCTCTCACCAGTTGCATAATCTTGGGTAAGTAATTTAACCTTTCTGAAGCTTCAGTCTCCCCATCTGAAAAATGAGGATAATAAGAGTCTTCCAGGCTGAGTGCAGTGGCTCATGCCTGTAATCTCAGCACTTTGGAAGGCCAAGGTGGGCAGATCACTTGAGATCAGGAGTCCACGACCAGCCTGGCCAACATGGCGAAACCCTGTCTCTACTAAAATTACAAAAATTAACCAGGTATGGTGGCTGGCGCCTGTAATCCCAGCTACTCCGGAGGCTGAGGCAGGAGAATCGCTTCAACCTGGGAGGTGGAGGTTGCAGTAAGCCAAGATTGTGCCACTGCACTCCAGCCTGAGCGACAGAGTGAATGAGACGCTGTCTCAAAAAAAAAAAAAAATCTTCCTCCCGTGATCACACATGGGGCATAATACACAGCAGAGCTTCTGAAACTTTCATATACATGGGAAGCATGAGGCCCTCTTTAAAATGCAGATTCTGATCCAGCAGGTCTTCAGTGGAGCCTGGAATTCTGCATTTCTAAATTCCTGGGTGCTGCCAACACTGCTGGTCTATGGACCACTGTGAGTAGCGAGGAGAGAGAATGCCCAATACAGTCAATACTCAATAAGGGAAAGCCACATCGCCACTGCCACCTGAATCATCATCATTATGGCATTAATGCTGGCGGGGGCAGGAACAGACCCAAGACAAGCACAGGCCTGTCGGGTGTTGGCTCCTGTCCCTATCACTCATCTCATCATCTCCCGTCTTCCTGATTCTTTCTCCTGGCTGTACTTTCAGCACATGCTCAGGCTACAAGAAACGCTGCCTTAAAAAGTCTGTTTTTGCTGTACAGGAGCTAATGAAAGGGGTTCCAGGAGAGCATCCCCTGAAAAGAGACCTGGAATAAGGGGAACTGAAAGGAGACCACGGCCGAGCCACATCCTCTCCGGGGCCTTAGTCTCCTTCCTCATCTGAATCAACCAGCTGAGCATGTGTTCTATGTCAGCTGACTGCTGGAACCGTGACCGAGCCTCCACACCCTGATTAAGCCACTGTCCGTTGCATATTGGCAGAGCCTAGGCCACTGCCCACCCCGCGAGGTAACATCTCACCAATTTCAGCTTCCAGGCAGTGCAGTGGCCTTCAGGGATCCTACCAGCTCTGATCCCTGCCAGAATCTATACTTCCTGGATAGCTGGGACCACACAGGAGTGTACCAAGGCCAAAGTTTGTTTTTTTTTTTTGTATTTTTTTGAGATGGAGTCTCACTCTATTGCCCAGGCTGGAGTGCAGTGGCACAATCTTGGCTTACTGCAACCTCCACCTCCCGGGTTTAAGTGATTCTCCTGTCTCAGACTCCGGAGTAGCTGCGACTACAGGCATGCACCACCAAGCTCGACTAATTTTTTTTTGTATTTTTAGTAGAGACAAGGTTTCACTGTGTTGGCCCGGCTGGTCTCGAACTCCTGACCTCAAGTCATCTGCCCGCCTGGGCCTCCCAAAGTGCTAGGATTACCAGCATGAGCCACTGTGCCCAGCCTCAAGGCCAAATTTTGGAGGTCAAGGAGACTTAAAGAGTTTTTGCCCACCACACTCAGCACTAAGATTCTAAGGAAGATCCACCTGTCTGAAAGTCCCAGACCCAGGAATCATCCTTGACAGCATCTCTCCCTCACCTCTCATGTTCCTGGCATTTGTCCCCTCCCTTCATCTCTGCTGCCATCCTGCTCATCAGCCCCTCCGATGTCATCCTGCTTCCCAGCTCCTCCATTCCATCCCAGGATCCAGATGACATGAGCTTTTCAAATTGCAAAGCTGATTACATCACACACACTGCCCACTCCCCGCCTCCCCACCCCCCGCCTCCCCGCCCCCCCACCCCCCACCCCGGCAGCCACCTTTGAAGGCCTGGCCTGTCTGCCCCAGCACTTTCCACACCCTTCTCCTTTGCTCTCTGCACTCTAGCCTTGTGACATCTATCAGTTCCCTGGGTGCCCTGCTCCCTCCCACCTGGGAGCCTTCTTCCCTGTTCTCACTCTCTCCCTCTACCCCTCACCCAGTGGACTCCCTTCGCCCTTCAGCTCGCGCTGGACAGCCCAGGCCAACTCAGGTTCTTCGTTGCAGTTCCCCTGGACATGTTTCACTTCCCTTAGAGCGCTTATCTCCATGTGTAATCTCATCTTTTTAAGGGTGGATTTCTCATTAATGTCTGTCTCTCCAGCTGACTGTGAGGTCCTTGAGGGCAAGAAGCAGGTTTTTGTTCATAATAGTTTCCCCAGTCCCTGGTATGGATCCTAGCACACCCTGAATGGGTGTTTTAAGAAACACCTGTTGACTGATCGATGCAGGAGCCCTTGAGAACAGCTAGAAATGGAAGTAGGGAAATCCCAAAGTGAAAACAAACCCTCAAGGCCAGAGAACAGCTTTGGGGCTATGGCTCCATGCTTCAGGGCAGGAAGGAATGCCGTGACCCTGGGTAGCAGCTCGGCAGGAGTCATGGTGGGGTCCTGGGAAGCGAAGTCAACTGCAGTCAGCCCATGGGAAGCACCACATTTGGAAGGGCAGGGCTGATGGGTTCTCTCACACACCTGGCATTGTTAATGGGAAGGATGGTGTCTTCTCCCTTTCCTCATCTGTTTCACTCCCCTCAGGCCCTTCCCACTCTCGGGAAGTATCAGAATATGTGCAAGAGGCCTAGACAATTCAGGACCCGTCTCCGCACCAAGTCCCATTCCAGGACAGCGGAAAATAGTAGAAAGGCACAAGACCAGGACTGAATGAGCCCTGGATCTGCCACTTAAGGTTGGGGCTCCATGAGCAAGTCACATCATTGTTTTAAGCCTCAATATTTTTCTCCTGAAATGAGGATAATCATATCTCTTGAATAAGATTGTTAGAGGAGTAAATAAAACAACTAATACAGATTCCCTCTGTAGTGTTCTGCACATAGTGGGAGCATCATACATATTTGTCGAATAATAAATGAATAAAAGCTTCTTAATAAGTTTGGAAATTTGTATTCTGGAAATGTTCTCTATCCTGCATGAACATTAGGTTGGATCCATGCAAAATAAGTTACGCCAATTAATCAATTTACTCATTTCATCATACACGCTTGGAAGGAAGACTTTTTGAAATTAAAATGCACATATGCAAAACAACCTGGCAGGGCCCTGGGAGGATCAAATGTGATAATGTATGAGAAAGCGCTTTGTAAACTGTGAAGCCCTGTACAAATGCTAGTTGTCCTCATTACTAACATGTTTACAGCTCGGTTGGCCCTGAAATTGCTGGCTTAACCTGAAAGAGAAAAGTGGGCAACTTTCCAGGCTTCCAGGGTTAGGCCAAAAAGTCCCCAGATGAAGAGGCCTGGGCTGGGCAGTACACAGAATACAATCACCCAGCCCTCTCCCCACGCCACTGTCACAACCAAATTTCCAGTTGAGTCAGCCCAACTAGGGTGGGCTCAGGACCTCTGCACTCAGGGAGGCAAACAGGGTATCTGCTGCCCTTGAGTGCCCAGGCCAGGGGCTACAAATACAGCAACCCCCAGGAACTGCATGGCACGTGGGAGAGTAAGCAGGCCAGGTAGAGCTGCAGAAAACTAAGGCCCACAACCAGCCACAGAAGGCGATGGAGGGACCGCCATTATCCCAGTCTAGCAATCGTTGGCGTTATGAAAGCCCGCTGTTGCCAGATCTAGCTTTTTTTTTTTTCATGAGAAGCCAAAACTCCAGATTTTTATGTGAAATTTTTTGATTTTTAAATACTGGCAACTAATTTTTTAAATGTTTAAAACACTCTATGGGCCAAATAAAACATATGCGCAGGCTGCATCCAGCCAGTAGCCTCCAGGCCATAGCCTTGGCAAGCAGACCTTTAGCCACGACCCAGACCATCCTTCCTGGGACCTGCTGGAGAGCCAAGTCCCTGACTCTCAGGGTATGCTGGTGGGCCCAGAAGAGGCTGCCCCTGGTGCTGAGGACTCACCCGCTTCTGCAGGGGCTCCTCGGCCCTCCTTGGGGGTGCAGCAGCCATTTTCCACTGCTCTTGAGGCTTCAGGCAGGGTCTCAGCTGCACCCTCTCCCTCTGCTGGGGCCCCGCCCTTCTGCCCCCCAGCAGGGCTCCCCTCCTCTGGCTGGGGCTCACTCCGCTTCTCCAAGTCCCCATTGGGTAATAGCTCTGAGGCGCCTGAGTCCTGGGCCATGGATGGGGACTTGGAGATCACCGCAGGGTCCTTTGGCGTGTCACCGCTTTCCACCTGCAAATGTAAGAAAGATACACAAGAGGAGGGTTAGATCAGTGGGCTTAGCCTGTTTTGGATCATTGACCGCTCTGAAATTCTAGAGAATGTTATGCACTTTCTGTCCAGAAACTGTGTTCATATAAACCTTCATGCAAACAGATACATTCACAATTTTGCTTTCAACATCAAAGGATTCCTGGGCTTGACCCCTTGAAATCACGAGTCTGTGGACTCCAGCTTCAGAAACAGGAAAAGAATCCAAGCAGGTTTGCCAGCCTGGTTGCACTTCTCAAGGGATCGGCTCCCCCATCCCACCGCCACTCACTGAGGTTACATAGGACGTCCAAGCCTTCTCTGCAGCCCCTGTTAAAAAAGAAATGCTCCGGCCAGGCGTGGTGGCTCACACCTGTAATCCCAGCACTTTGGGAGGCTGAGGCAGGTGAATCACTTGAGGTCGGGAGTTTAAGAGCAGCCTGGCCAACATGGAGAAACCCCATCTCTACTAAAAATACAAAGTTAGTTGGGGATGGTGGTGCATGCCCGTAATCCCAGGTACTCGGGAGGCTGAGGCAGGAGAACCGCTTGAACCTGGGAGGCAGAGTTTGCGGTGAGCCGAGATCACGCCATTGCACTCCAGCCTTGCGACAGAGCAAGACTCCGCCTCAAAAAAAAAAAAAAAAAAAAAAGCTCCTTGTGCCACCCATAATCCAATAAGACCCCCCTCTCCCTTAGAAGATTCCAGTGCCACCAGATCAAGTCTGGGACTCAGGCTGGTCTGACTTCTGTGGTCAGTGCCCTCCCAGCTTTCCTCTTGGTCTCTTGAGGCATGAGAGTCGAAGGAGGACCCCCAAAAAACCATTCTGTAGGCTCATAGCCTAGCGTAGCCTTCTCCCCTGGCCTGGGCCGCCCCAGATTCTTTCAGGCACTCAGACCCAGAAGAGCCAAGGCTCTGGCAAACAGTTTTCAGGCTCTGCAACAACTCTTCCTGAGCACTGGGGTCTCTCATTCTCCCTTCAAGGGAAATCATTTCTTTATCCCCTAGAGTCTAAGAACTGAACTCGCTAAGGTTCCAGGTAATAAAAATCAAATAAAGAATAATCCTGGCTGTCTGTGTGTGTCACTGCGCAGTGGACAAAGCTCCTCACTTACTACCTCCTCAGAGTTTCTCAGCCTCCCTGGGAAGCAGGTGAGGAACCTGAGGCTCTCTGGAATTTTGTGATTTGCTCCAGGTCACAGGCTTTGCAAGGACAAAGCAAGAGCAGGAGAGCCGGGTGCCTGCTGTGTGCTCTGCTGTGTATATATATTCAGTCCTCAGCCATCCAGAGGCAAGTGGGCCAGGACACCTCAAGAAGAATGGAGGTGTCCAGTGTGGGACAGGAACAGGCAGGGGTCCCCATGGCTCGGCACTCTGCCACACCCACAGGCACCAGGCTGCACTCAGCAACTCTGCCTCGCTGGCTCCGTATGCAGAACACCTACCCAGTAGAAAGGCAGGGACAGCATCAGCACGGCAAGCCTCAGATAAGGAAGGCACTGCTCTCAGCATCTCAGTTTCCCCACCTGTCAGGTGGAGATGACTGGTCTAGACCAATGGAGATTTTGTCTTTCTTGTCTTTTTTTTTCTACTTATAAAAGTCAGTCACATATATCATAAAAAAATCAAACTGTAGCCAGGCGTGGTGGCTTACGCCTATAATCCTAGCACTTTGGGAGGCTGAGGCAGGCTCCCTCACATATCACCTGAGGTCAGGAGTTTGAGACCAGCCTGGCCAACATGGCAAAACCCTGTTTCTACTAAAAATTAGCTGGGTGTGGTGGTGCATGCCTGTCATCTCAGCTATTTGGGAGGCTGAGGCAGGAGAATCACTTGAATCCAGGAGGTAGAGGTTGCAGTGAGCTGAAACTGCTCCACTGCACTCCAGCCTGGGCAACAGAGTGAGACTCCATCTAAAAAAAAAAAAAAAAAAAAAAAAAAAAAAGACTATACAAAAAAAAAAAAATAATGCTAAAAGGTTAAAGCTCCTATTTCAGCTCCCTACCCCCAAAATCTCTCCCCTAAGGTACCCATTATTAACAGTTCAGTGAGCATCCTTTCCAGATTTTTTCCTATGCATTGACAATCATGTGTAAGTTACATGTTTATACATATGTATTCATATACACATTCAGATCCAGAAATGTTTTTTTCCAAAAGGGTATCATACTAGTCGTAATGTTCTGCAACTTGCTTTTTCACTTAACAAGCAGAGTGGGCATCCCTCCATCCCAGTGCAGATGGATCTGGATGCTCCAAAATGTATGCATGCCGTTCCCTGATGGTGGGCATTTGGGCTGATTTGCTTTTCACTGCAGTGAACACCCTTGCACTTACAGCTCTGTACAGCTGCGTGTTTCCATGGGACGGAGTTCCAGAAGTGGTCAGGCCGGGTGAAAGGGCCTGTCCAGCTAAATGTGCAGAGATACTGCCAAATTCCCTCCAGAGTTTCCCACCACTCAAGTGCACAGCCTGAGACAGCACTGGGTCCCCAGCCCCTCCCCTGCAAAGCCCTATTTCCAAGGCTGCTTTTGCTCTAACGGTCTAGGACCTGAACTCTCAACCCACTGTTATTTGGCAAGGAACGCCCAGAGGTGGCAATTAGGGACAAGGGCCTTGGGAAAACAAAAACAAAAACAAAACCAGAGTCTTCTCAGGTATGCTTTCCTCCCTGGATGGGGACCCGGGCACAGGGAGCAGCCGGAGAGGGAGCAGAAGGAACTGCAGGGCCTGCCAAGCTCCTTTCCTGCTGTGCGGGGCAGCTGGGCAGGCCTGCTTCCAGGAGGGAAGCACCCACAGAAAGCTGCATGTGTGTACTCCTCAGCAGTTGGAGGCAGGGGGCTGCAACGAGAGGAAGAGGAGGTGACTGGTAAAAGCGAGAAGTCCTCCACTGTGCTTGGGGGCTTGGGCTGATGCCAGCAGAGCCAGGAAGGCCAAATCCGGGAAGGAAAGTGGAACGGCAGACCCCTGCCTCCATCCTGTGTGTCAGGACCCTCCCCAGAACTCAGAACACCTCTCCTCCCTCCCTGCTTAAGCAAAGAGGGCATTTCCAGCCTAGAATGGTCCTCCCTGGTGTAAACCCTGTCTGTCACCCTTCAAGGCTCAGTCATGAGCCCCAGCAGCCTGAAAAGTGGAGTGTACCCCTGCACTGCAGCCACCTTCTGGGATCCAGCTGTTCCAGGTACCCCAAAGCCCCCAACATGGCACTACCATAGAGGTATGCGTGGGGTCCTGCCTGGCTAACTTGAGCTAAGAAGCTTAGGTCAGAGCCAGACTTTTTCATGGCTGCGTCTTCCTTTCTTCTCATCATTTGCTGCCCTGCAGACACCTCAGATTGGGGCAGGCTCTGAGCCCCGCAAAGCTGCTGGAGGCAACTCCACTGTCACTCACTTCCTGCCTGGGACCACATGGCCTCCTCTCATGCTGGGACTCACTTCCTGTTGACTGCTGGCTCCGTAGCATAGAGACCTATGAGGGCCGGCTCTGAGGCCCAACACAGCCCCAGGCTCCCGACCAACCCAGTCCTTCATGCACAAGAGTAAGCCCTGCCCTGGCCTTGCCCGCGGACCCCAGTCTGCAACAGCACCAGATGCGCCATTCTCCCAGAGATGCCCCCAAAGCCAGGTGGGAGCCGGGCATGCTGGGCAGATGATGGGCGAGCGGGGCATGTTGCACATTTCCAGCCCCGGGTTAGCTCACCCGCTGAAATCCCCACTCCCGCATCTGGTCCACACCATCCTCTGCCCAACCATCCCCTCCTGCTCACCTGCTCTCTCAGGTTCTGGATGAGATGATTCAGCCAAAGTTCTGGGATTTGGGGGGGAGGGCAATGACTTCTGCCACGCTCAACCCTTGATTCATCCTACCCATCAAGAACTCCCTCAAGCTAAGTGTGGCCCCTCAATGGGGCTCTCTGGGGCTCAGGGTGACCAGCAGGACAAAACCATCCAGAGGAAGGAAAAAGGTCCCAGTCAAATGGCCTGAAGCAACTGTCCAAGTCTCTGGGGAAGAGCTGGGTGCTCACTGAAGGAGCCATCCCTGGTGAGAAGGGCAGAAACCTCAGCCTGGAAGCCCAGGAGGGAGGGGCACCCCAGCCAGGCCTGGCCTCTTCTGCCCCCAACTCCATGTCCTCCTCCCAGCCACTCTCCTCCCCTCCTTTCCCCTGTCTCCACAGCTTGTTGACCTCTGGAGGGCAGAGACTTTGCTCGATCTGGAGGGCAGAGACTTTGCTCGATCCGGCTAGACTTAGCAGGGAGTGGGGCACCTGACAGGTGCTCAGACAATATTCACAATTGATTCGTGAATGGCAAAGACGAGGCTAAAAGTGAGAACCTCCTGCACTCAAGCTAGAGGGAGTTTCAGCTTTGCTGCCATGTCTGTTAAACAATCTGCTTTTGTTTGCTTTTGACAGTCATCTTGAAAGAGACACAGCACACCCCCGAGATACTCATGTTGCCCATTATCTGGGAGAGGGCTGGGTTGGGGGTGCCGACCATTCTAGAAGGCACCACCAGCAGGTGCAGCTGCAGGTGACAATTTCAGAATGGGAAAAGCCGCAGTAACTACCCATCACTTCTCCTCCCGTGGGGGGCCAGATGGGGGCCACAGGAGGGTTGTGAATCTAGTATCATTCTAGATTTCAGTACAGCTTGGTCCTATCACCCACTGTCCACCTACCCCCACCCGGTATACCACACTTTGGGTCTTCAAATCCTGCCCACCACTTCCTGGGGTCCCTCCGAGTTTGCCAATCTTCGCTTTCCTTCTGGGCAGAACCCCCACCTTGCCTCCGGCTTTTCCTCAGTCCTCTCCTGTGAGCAGCTTTTTGAGGCAGGTTAAGGCCGTAGTTCTCAACTGGGGCGATTTTGCTAACTCCCCACCAGGACATTTTGGCATGTGTGTGAAGACATTTTTGGCTGCCACAAGGTTAGGGTGAGGTGCTGGCATCTAGTGAGTAGAGGCTAGGGAAGCTGCTAAACACCCCACCAGACAGAGGACACCCCCGCCCCCAACAGAGATTTAGTCCAGACAAAATGGCAATAATGTCTTTGAAAAACCCTGGGCTGAGGGTAGGGGCAAGGACAGGGACTGTCTTTATCAAAGGAACACTTTTTTTTTTTTGAGATGGAGTTTCGCTCTTGTTGCCCAGTCTGGAGCACAGTGGTGCAATCTCGGCTCACTACAACCTCCACCTCCTGGGTTCAAGCGATTCTCCTGCCTCAGCCTCCCAAGTAGCTGGGATTACAGGTGTCTGCTATTACACTTGGCTAACTTTTTGTATTTTTGGTAAAGATGGGGTTTCACCATGTTGTCCAGGCTGGATTCAAACTCCTGACCTCAGGTGATCCACCCACCTCAGCCTCCCAAAGTGCTGAGATTACAGGCATGAGCCACCATGCCTGGCTTAAGAAACACTTTTTTTGGCCAGGCATGGTGGCTTACGCCTGTAATCCCAGCACTTTGGGCGGCTGAGGCGGGTGGATCATGAGGTCAGCAGATTGAGACCATCCTGGCTAACATGGTGAAACCCCGAATCTACTAAAAATACAAAAAATTCGCCAGGCGTGGTAGCAGGCGCCTGTAGTCCCAGCTGCTGGGGAGGCAGCAGGAGAATGGTGTGAACCTAGGAGGCAGAGCTTGCAGTGAGCCAAGATCGCTCACTTTTTTTTTTGAGACGGAGTCTCGCTCTGTTGTCCAGGCTGGAGTGCAGTGGTGTTATCTCAGCTGACTGCCACCATGCCTGGCTAACTTTTGTATTTTTAGTAGAGATGGGATTTCACCATCTTGGCCAGGCTGGTCTTGAACTTCTGACTTCATGATCCACCCACCTCAGCCTCCCAAAGTGCTGGGATTACAGGCGTAAGCCACTGTGCCCGGCCTAGAAACACTTTTTTAAACTTCTAAAAACCTGGGGTAAAACATACATAACATTTACCATTTTAACCATTTTCAAGCATACTTTAAGTACACTCTCATGGTTATACAACCTTTACCCCCATCCATCTCCAGAACTTTTCCACGATCCCAAACGGAAACTGTCTCCATTCAACACTAACTTCCCAGTTGCCTCTCCCCCAGTCACCACTCTTCTACTTTCTGTCTTCTAAGGAGCATTTTAAAGGAATGCTCCTTTAAATGGAAGGATCTGGACCCCTCAGCCCCCTGTAGTTGGCAGGTGTGGACAGCTGCTGGCCCAGCCTTGCCCTGAAGGGTGGGGGTGAACCCACCGCAGCTGTCACTCCTGTCCCAGCCAATGCATGCCACGTTTGTTTACAAAGCCCTTTCTCACCCAATCTCCTTACAATTCATACCTCTGAATCTAATTATCTGTTTACTGTGGCCTCCCTCCTCGACTGTGAGCCTTGCCTTATTTAACTTTTTTTTTTTTTTTTGAGACCGAGTCTCGCTCTGTTGCCCAGGCGAGTGCAGTGGCGCGATCTCGGCTCACTGCAACCTCCACCTCCCGGATTCAAGCGACTCTCCTGCCTCAGCCTCCCAAGTAGCTGGGATTACAGGTGCCTGCCACCACACCTGGCTAATTTTTGTATTTTTAGAGATGGGGTTTCTCCATGTTGGCCAGGCTGGTCTCAAACTCCTGATCCCAGGTGATCCATCCGCCTCAGCCTCCCAAAGTGCTGGGATTACAGGCGTGAGCCACCGCACCCGGCCAATCTTATTTAACTTTGTAGGCCTCTCCACCTATGGCTCTCTAGCATCCCACACAGGACTGGGCATACATATGCTTATAAAATTAATAAATGTAATTTTCACAGGGATCCTAGGGGAGCTGGAGCGATACTCGCTTTTCTGAGGCCTGCCTTGGGTCACACGCCTCTGATCAGTAAAGCTTCCAGGATGGCTCAGGTACAGGCGAGGCATTTGAAGGCCGACTCCCGCTCTGGGTTGAGTCTCAGAAAAGCGCAAGCTCACAAATGCCCCCAGGGTTTGGAGAAGGCAGAGGTGGCAGTGCAGTGCCCAAGAAAGGCCGGGCAGAGGCTGCTGGCCCTCCCCTGAGCAGCGCTCAATTCAAGCAAAAGACAGAGGCAAGGCAAGGAGGAGCCCTCTGCTGTGGCCTGCCCAGCCGGAACCAATTCCCCAGCCCTGCCGCCGCCTCCTCTTCCCCCTTTGCCCAAAGTCTGGGCCAGACCCAGACCTCCTGCCCCTCCTTCACTCCAGGCAAAGCCTTGCGTCCCAGGGTGGGGCAATGTCTGAAACTCCCAATATGGGGAGGTGATTTTTTCTTTCTTTTTTTTAAGAGACAGGATATCCCTTTGTCACTCAGGTTGGAGTGCGGTGGCACGATCACGGCTCACTGTGGCCCTGAATTCCTGGGCTCAAGCAATCTTCCCGCCTCAGTTTTACCAGGGACTACAGGTGCCTGCCACCACACCTAACTTTTTATTTTTATGGAAGTAATTAAAAAAAATTTTTTTTTTGAGACAAGGTCTCACTCTGCTGCCCAGGCTGGAGTGCAGGGGTGTGACCATAGCTCCCTGCAGCCTCAAATTCAACGATTTTCCTATCTCAGCCTCCCAAGGAGCTGGGACCACTGGCATGTGCCACCACATCCAGCTAATTTTATGGAAGTGATTTTTTTTTTTTTTTTTTGAGACGCAGTCTCACTCTGTTCTCCAGGCTGGAGTGCAATGGTGTGATCTCGTCTCATTACAACGTCTGCCTCCCGGGTTCAAGCGATTCTCCTGCCTCAGTCCCAACCAGTAGCTGGGATTACAGGCGTGTGCCACCACATCCAGCTAATTTTTGTATTTTTAGTAGAGATGGGGTTTCGCCATGTTGGCCATGCTGGTCTCGAACTCCCAACCTCAGGTAATCCACCCACCTCGGCCTCCCAAAGTACTGAGATTACAGGCGTGAGCCACCACGCCCGGCCAGAAGTGGTTTTTAAGTGTTGCTTTACTATAGTTATTTACACAGAAAAACTAAAATCCAGGAGGAGGAGAGGTGAAGGTCATGGCACAGGGGAGATGAGGCCCTGGCACCTGGGGCAAGAAGCCCTGTCCCCAGGCTGCAGCCCACCTGCAGCGATCACCGGGGAAGGGGGATCCTGTGGGGGTGGGGGGTGGGTAGATGCCATTCTCCCTCCTCCCCTGCCTCTTCCTTTCCCACTGGGAGCTCCTCTTGCCTTCTCCCCCAAAGCCCAGCAGATGCAGGGGCGACCTCACCTTGGTCACCCAGAGGGCCGGGCCTGCCATGGTGCTTTTAATGCCTCTGTGAGATCCATTCCATGCCAACCGGGAACCCTGGCATCAGGCCAGCCACGGACTCTTCACCGTCACGTGCACAGACTTGAGAAGGAGGCACCCCCACGCCTGCAGACACCCACTGCCAGCCACAGGACAGAGGGGTGCAAGGAAGCTGCGTGATGCCAACACAAACACGCCAGTGAGCCCCTCCACTCCCACCGCAACTCCTCGCTCCTTCCAGTTCCTCAGCTCTGCAGGCCCATCACCCCTCAACCAGCCTGAATTTTTCCAGGTTGACTCTAGTTTCAGGAAACAGCTGCATGTCCACGTAAGCAGGGCAGCTCTGCCCCCGAAGCATTGGCACGGGGCCATGACTGCCCGCCCCCGCCCTTCCGGCAGCCCCCTTTCCCCTGGCGGCCCTCACCAGAGATCTGATAGCAGCTGGAAGTGGCCTGTGGTAGGGAGAGCCAGAGATGCCTGCTCCATGCCCACTCCAGGAGGGGCCAGGGGGTCCCCAGATGCCCCCTTGCTCGGCCTTCCTGGGGTGGATGGAGCAAGCTCCAACGCTATGGAGCTAGGACCCTGACTCCTCCAATTTCCCTTTTCCCTGTGGGGTGGCTAAAAGCGCAGCCAGTGGGGTCAGGGATGGCGGGACCAGAGGCCACAGAGGGCCGACTCTGGAAACTCTGGTCCCAGCCTGGGCACCCCCTCCAGGTCCTACCATTCCCCTTACCACATCTGCTGGGAGCTGCCTGTCTCCCTTCTCCCCAGAGATCTCTCCACCCGTGTGTCTGAGGAGAGAACTCTGGGCTCTGCAAAGCCTTAGAGGTCACTCAGTCCATGGCCTGGCTAGGCCGTCACAAGCCATGGCAAATGGATGCCAGAATGACCATGCGTGGTGAGTGGCCGGCCCACTCAGGGTTCTGTTTCCAGCGGGGACACTGGTCCACCTGGAAAAGGGCCTGGTTGTGCTCTTTGAAGTCAACCTCAAAGGATTTCAGAGTGAGCTGGAGGCTCCCTTTAAAAAGCCATTATGCTGGCTGGGTTCAGTGGCTCACGCCTGTAATCCCAGCACTTTGGGAGGCCGAGGCGGGCGGATCATCTGAGGTTGGGAGTTCGAGACCAGCCTGGCCAACATGGTGAAACCCCATCTCTACTAAAAATACAAAAAAAATGGCCTTTGAGCCCCCTATGCTCAGGCCTGCTCTCACATTGTGTAGTGTACTTTCATTTTCAATAAATCCCTTCGACCCTTAAAAAAAAAAATTAGCCAGGCATGGTGGTGCACGCCTGTAATCCCAGCTACTCAGAAAACTGAGACAGGAGAATTGTTTGAACCCGGGAGGCAAAGGTTGCAGTGAGCCGAGATCGCACCACTGCACTCCGGCCTGGGCAACAGAGTGAGAATCTGTCTCAAAAACAAAAACAAAAACAAAAACAAAAAAAGCCATTACGTATGAGAGATCCCATACGTTAAGTAAATCTCTTTTGAAGTTGCTTCTGTTTTCAATTTCTGCCAATCCTAGGGTGACAGGTTTGGTAAGAAGGGAACCCACCATGGAAAATGGTGCTATCTTTTCTGTGCTTCATTTATCTTTCTGAAATTTCTAATGGGTGTCCTCCCTCTGCCCCCCAGCTGTGCTGTGCTCAGCCCGCCGCACCCGACATGATTTCATAGCCTTAATCACATCCTCTGCCTTTGTCTCTGCAGACTGGGGAGTCCTAATCTCTTTAGCCTGTCCTCTCTTGGCAGCCTTGCCTTCCCCTTGATCAATTTAGTGCCCTTCTCTGGAGCTTTTCCAACTCGCTTATGTCTTTCTTGAGGTAGGAGAACCAAAATGTACAAAATTCTCTAGGTGGGGATGATGAAAGAAAGCCCATGTCAACAGCTCTCCTCCAATGGGTGTGCCGGCGCGTACCTGCAACAGGAGGAACAATGCAGGTGGAGCCCGGGCCCTAGAAAAGCTCATGGGGCCCCAGGAAGGCCACCAAGGCCAGGACCTGTGGGAATGAATGACTCGCTGAAGGTGGCCCTGGGATGTGGAGAGATGAAAATAAACAGAGGGATTATTTTTGGAAAAAAAAAAAAAGGAGATTCTGAGATTCTACTTAAATGCTCCCCAAGTAAGACCAGCTATGTAAGGTGGCCTTGACAGGGGCCCCTTCCCCATCTGCTCCCTTCCAGAAGCCTTGTCTCTGACAACAACGCTGATGCTGTCCCTGTTGTGCCATTGCTAGGGCTTCCTTTCACCCCTTCCTCTCCAGCGTTCCCAGGGCCAGCAGCATAGGCTTGGCCAATTCTGCCCCGCCACTGCCACCCCCCACAGGCCCTGGGACTTTGCTGGCGCCCCTGCCCCCTCCCCTCTCCCAGCATGTGCTCATGCTCAGGGATGAACGCCATGCTCATGGGTGCCAGAGCCAATTTCTCAAACACGACTCCCATCACGTCATATCCGCCTCCTCACAACCTTCCAGATAACACATTTTTCAGAGAGGATAAAGAGTAAAAGCCCCTCAGGCTGCCTGCAAACTACCTTTCCAATCAAGATTGAGAAGATTTTTCTTCTTTCTTTGAGACAGGGTTTTGCTCTGTCACCCAGCTGGAGTGCAGTGACACAATTATGGCTCACTGCAGCCTCAACCTCCCGGGGTCAAGAGATCCTCCTGCCTTAGCCTCCCAAGTAGCTGCGACCACAGGTGTACCACCATACCCAGCTACTATTTATTATATATATATATAAAAATTTATTTTTTTGAGACAGAGTCTCCCTCTGTAGCCCAGGCTGGAGTGCAGTGGCACAATCTCGGCTCACTGCAACCTCTGCCTGCCCAGGTTCAAGCGATTCTCGTGCCTCAGCCTCCTGGGCAGCTGGGACCACAGGTATGTGCCACCACATTCGGCTTTTTTCTATTTTTAGTAGAGATGGGGTTTTGCCATGTTGGCCAGGCTGGTCTCGAATTCCTGGCCTCAAGTGATCCACCTGCCTCAGCCTCTCAAAGTGGTGGGATTACAGGTGTGAGCCATTGCACCCAGCCCCGTATACATTTTTCAATGAATCCCTAGTCCCCTCAGCCAGGCCTGTGCCTGTGTGCTCATGGCCCCTGCCTTTGGGCCTCCCCACACTCACCCTGCCCTGCATGCCTTCCTTCCTCCACACCCAGCTCAGCTGGGGTCGGGGGTGCCTCTCACTTTCCCCTTGACTTCTCCAAATGTCACCTCCCTTCTAAGGCCCAGGTCAAGCCCCACCTCCTCCATCTTCCCTGGCTTCCCCGGCATCCTTAGGAGTCCCACTGCACTTAAGTCCCCACCATGGGCTAGGCCCTTCCATGCAGCACTCCAGTAGCGGGCGTTGATTTCACCGCTCAGGTCGGGGAGTGGGTGGGTGGAGCTGCAAGGTTCATAACCATAGGCTCTACCTCACAAGCAGTGTGTCGGCCTGTCTTCCTCATGCCTTCCAAAACATGAGGAGACAGAGTGGGCAGCAGCGTGTACTGATGCAGGCTCGCAGGAAGAAAAGCCACCTCTAGGGGTGGGCCAAGGGCTGCAGCCCAGGAGTGGGAGACACGATGTCAGGAAGTTATATGCATAAAAGGTAGGGGCACCATATCACCCAGCCGAGGTCCGGAGGGTTAGCCCAGGAGCGGCTCTGATCTGAAAACAAGCAGGGCTGCTGAGCTCTGTCTTAACTTGGAGAAGAATCAAAGGTCCTATCAGGCTGGAAAGCTAGCCAGTGCTGCAAACCTCCAAGAGCTGCCATAAGCTGTACCTAGCTGACTTTTGCCTGCAGCAGAATGGTTCCCTGACTTCCCCATTTAGGTTACCCCAAGTCATCTGCTCTGAAGTGGGGCAGTTTGCCCTCTTGGACTGGCTCACTCCTGCGGTGTTGGAGGGTCAGCCCTAACACCAGCTTGGGCTCAGCTGAGCTCAGCACCAGCGCCCAGCCCCCTCCTCCTCCTCCCTCCCATTCTGGGTTATTCTTAGCAGGAGGTGACCTCAGAGTGCTCCCTCTGAGCAAAAATAACCCTGGAGGAAGTTGGTGGGTATAAATCGTCAATGAATAAATACGCATCGCTAGTAAATAGGGGATGGAGCCCCACAGGGCCACTCACCCCCCAGGGCCTTGTGGGCAAAGGCAGAAACTCTCCCTTCAGGGCTCCAACCGGAACCACCCATGAAGGACAAAGGCCTCTGCAGGACTGTCTGGGCTGGCAACCAGGCAGGAACCAGCCTCAGACACCCACACTTGTCACCCTGCAACATCCTTAGAGGCTGCCCCTTCCTCCCCACCTCACACCCACACACGGGCTCAGCTCCACGCACCAGCCCCCGCCTCCCTATCATGGGCACTGGCCAGCCCGCAGGCCCTGGCCCAGGTGCCAGCTCCCTTCCTAAGCCCCGCCCTGCCCTGCAGCTGACTTCCTGTTTCCTGTTGCCGGCTCTGACTGCAGCATCCTGGCTCTCTGGCCAGTGCTGCAGACAACTAGGCCGTTGCCGATTTTAAGCAGGCGCACCTCTTTGCCCTCAGCCCCCTGCAGCCTTCGGCACTTACACACAGGCTCCCTGGTATTTGTGTCAATAACTCTCTTCAGTTCCATTTTCTTTGTATGCTTTTTGGACCAGTTCCACACACTTTTTCCAGCAGCCCTGAATTCACATATTAACTGACAGAGAACCCCTGGGTAGGTACCCAGTAGCCAAACTGCACGGATGCAGTGATAAGGAGGAAAGAGCACCATAGGCTTTGCAGTTGGGAGGTGTGAAGTCCAAGTCCTGATCATCTTCTCTGAACCTCAGTCTCTTCTTCTGAATGTGGGGATAATGAAAGCGGTCCCCAACTACCTCACGCAGGTTTGTCAGCATCAAATAAGGTAACCCCTGTAAAACGCCTTTGTAGGCAGTAACATGCTGCATAACCATGAGCCTTTACTGCTGGTCTCTGTCCTCAGTGAGGCAGGCAAACTCAGTGTGGCACAGCTCAGCGACTATGCAATGGCGGTGCATTTTCAAACTGTCAGGGATGAAAGCTCAAGCTTTGGTTCCAGATTTTTAAATTCTCAGTGCACCAAGAAATGATACGGTTGTAAAATATAAAATCACAGCACGTGGATGTGGCAACATTGTCACACACACATAAAAGCTTCTGAATAGTTATACTCAGTTCTGTACCGACAGGTGACAACAAATGCTTCTCAAAGTGAGGTCTGCAGACCACTGCAGTCCCATGTGTGTGATCGGTGGGCTTGGAACTTGTCTTTATCAGTTCATTTTTATTAACTTTGGAGACAGTTGGAGAAGGGAAAGGCCAGTGTGGGTCACAGTGGCTGAACTGGGCTTCATTTTCAGGCTAGGTTCTACCGGGCTGTGGTGCTGGGGCAGGCGGAGAGAAGGCAGGCTGTGGAACTGTGTAAGGGGCGGGCAGGAGGAATGGCTGGCTAGTGTGTTTGGGGAGCAGTGAGAAGGTGAGGTTTCTGTGGCCAAAGGGGTGGCATCAGGCATAGCAGGGAAAGGAGTGGTCAGATGGTGAGGGGCTGGAATTCAGATCTTGTCCCCTAAAAAATGGAGTCCCGGGGGGTTCCTGAAGAAGGACGTGCCGGTGCTACATTTACTGTGATTATGTGTGGCCTCCTCTCTCCAGCACACTTGACTGAAATAGAAGGCATCTTCCTCTGGTGGCTTCCCGCACATGGTCAGTGCTCAGGAAGTGGAAAGTGTTTGTCGTGAAGGGAGCACACTGGCCTGGGCATGCAAGGGGCAGGTGGAGTCTGGTTTGGGTGAGGGCAATGCCAGGGGGCAGAAGGCACCCAGGGACAGATGCCTGTTGAAGGCCAAGACAGACAGTCCTTGGGGGCAAAAGGAGGAGAGAGCCCAGGATTTCTTGGGCTTGGGGGTGGGACCTGGTGAGGGCACTAGTGGGTATATCTGGACCCTCCCTGTCCAGCGCTGGCTGTGGAAGCTCACAGCCTCCAGCCAGGGTTTCATCTCTTACTTCCCAGTCCCCATCCCTGTCACACCTGTCAGGACCTGAGCCAAGCTCCTTCCCCAGGCTTAGCTGGATGACACACTCAGCTGCTTTAAAGCTCCCTGGCAAATCTATTCCCAGGGCCACAGCTGCAACAGGTCCTCAGAAGCCATCTCTCCTGTGCTCCTGCATGGGAGGGGAAGAGGCCAGGACCAGCACCTGCGACCACAAGGGCTGAGCCTTGGCTGCAGCAGGAATCCCCCAACATGGGCTCCCAGGAAGGGCCATGCTGGCTGCTGTCCTCGGGGTCAGTCTTTCTCGGTTCCTCCAATGTGCAAGGAGTTGCTTTCCCAACAGCTGACTTCCCAATCAGCTTCACCTTTACCATGCTCCTCCTCACCCTGGGCCTCTCCTGAGAGGCCAGGCGACGGCAGGTGTAACCTAGGACTTGGGCTAGAACACATCCAGACCACGAGGGGCACGGGATGCGCCCCGCCTCCCAGGGCTGCTGAGAGGCTGATGCTGGGCCCCCACCCCATAGGCCTGCACCCCAGCCTGGTGGACACTGGGCCCTGCAGTGGAACAGGTTTTTTACACAGCCAGCTCTGCATTGTTTTTTTTTTTTTTTTTTTTTGAGACAGAGTCTCGCTCTGTTGCCCAGGCTGGAGTGCAGTGGCACAATCTTGGCTCACTGCAACCTTCCCCTTCCGGGTTCAAGCGATTCTCTTGCCTCAGCCTCCCGAGTAACTGGGATTACAGGCACCCGCCATCATGCCCGGCTAATTTTTGTATTTTTGTAGAGACAAGGTTTCACCATGTTGGCCAGGCTGGTCTCAAACTCCTGACCTCAGGTGATCCGCCCACCTTGGCTTCCTAAATTGCTGGGATTACAGGCATGAGCCACTGCGCCTGGCCCAGCCTGCACATTTGGACTCTTTTGCTGTTTGCCAAGTGCCCCAGGAGGTGGACAGGGCAGGTTTTACTGGCAGCCATATTTTCCCAATGAGGAAGCAGCCCAGAGAGGTTAGGTGACTTGCTCAAGGACACATGCTGGGAAGCATTAAATCAAGGTGCTGCTCTTCTGTCAAACTACGGTTGCCGTGGCCTCCTGAAGAGGAAAGGTTTGGCCAGGCGGGGGCAGGCCCGACCTTTGCTGAGGCTCCTTGGTGCTTGCACCATTTCGTTCTCACAGGGGCAAGGAGAAATGCATCCTTTTCTCCTCTATTTTTAGAAGGGGAACCTGAGGTTCAGGCAGCAGCAGTTCAAGGTTACACAGGTGGTCAGTGGTGGAGCCAGAATTTGAACTCAGGTCTCTTGGACCCCAAAGACAGTGTTTTTCCTTCTGCCCTGGAGCGTGCTTCAGGCCAGGGGATGTAGGACTGCCGGCCCCTCTCCCCTCACTCGGCTGTGCCCCTCTTCTCTGTCATTGTCTAGGTGATGTCCCCACACTCCTGTCCCTGACTTCCTTGTACCTTTTCACCCGAGTGCTTCACTCCACCTCTCAGCGATGTGGCTACCCTCTGATTCCAGAGACTCACAAAGATGAGTCAAAGGGTTGCTGGGTCTTTATTTGCTACAGGTGGTGGCTCTTGTCCTCAGAAACTGGACGGGGACAGGGGGAGTTTGCTTAGCATATTGCACGTTGCCAAGCCTCAGGAGAGAGGCAGGGCACGCTGCAAATGTGGAGTCACCAGTGTGCTCTGACTCCGGCCTGGCTCTCCTCCCACACCTTCTCCATTAAGGTGCCCTGTGGGCAGAGGAGGGTGCAGGGGCCCTGGGAATCTGGAGTCTGCTGCCAGCCAGAAAGTCCTCTCTGAAGCCCCGTGTTATTTTTCAACATCACGTGAATTTTTCATTCCAGAATGAATTTCATTCATTACATATCCACGTTTGCTTTAATATTAAAAGGTTTAAAATTACTTACCAGTAAAATGACTTCACTCCGCCCCCCTGCCCCCCGCCTCAAATCTTCAGGCAGAACTGGCAGGGGTGCATCTCAGTACACAGCAGGTTCCCACACCCCCCACCTCCAGGAACTCACCACCCCCCCCGCCTCTACTGTCCCATTTCACTTCAGTCACCTTCAACCCGGCTCTCTACCCAAAGGGAGCAAGTCCTGGGCTCCATGCCTGCTGAGAACATTTCTTTGAAGGGCTGAGTAACAAATCCAGAGCCTCTGACTCCCCCTTACCTTCTTGCTCCAAGTTTACCATTCTCAGCTGGAAGGGGGGTAAAAGAAAGGAACCAGCTGTCTCTGGTGCTGGGAAATAATGACTGCTCCACATCTGAGTTTAAGACATAAACCAGTTAGGCTCCTACAGCCCAGGGGTCTTGTTCTCCAGAGCTGCCCCCAGGCCTCAGCGGCACTGGTTCCCAGAAGCCTGGCGCTGGGGCTGGCCCTGCAGCCTACATGCCTGCAGGACTTCCTTCCCCAGGGCCCTGGTTCTCCTGCTGCCTCACAGAGACTCCTCAGCCTGCATCTCCCCCTTCCCATTTGATCAGACTCCCAGGCCTCAGTTCCCTTCCTCCAGGTGGGGGCTGAGACCCTGGGTGAGAGTGTGGTAGGGAGGGGCCTTCATAGATAGTCCAGGGAGATCTTAGTCCAGCCTGGGATTCTGGCAGGCCCTCTTGCTTCCCTTCCAGAGGGAGGCCAGGAGTCAGGGGCCTGGTCCAAGTCTTAGGCCCAAGACCAACCAGCCAAGTCCCCTGGCTTCTCAGGGCCTCCACTTCTCTATGCAGAAAACAGGGAAATGTGGCCGGGCGCGGTGGCTCATGCCTGTAATCCCAGCACTTTGGGAGGCTGAAGTGGGCGGATCACTTGAGGTCAGGAGTTCGACACCAGCCTGGCCAACATGGCGAAATCTCGCCTCTACTAAAAATACAAAAATTAGCCGGGAATGGTGGCGCGTGCCTGTAATCACAGCTACTTGGGAGGCTGAGGTGGGAGAACTGTTTGAACCCAGGAGGTGGAGGTTGCAGTAAGCCGAGATCACGCCACTGCACTCCAGCCTGGGCAACAGAGTGAGACTCCGTCTCAGTAAAAAAGTAAATAAATAAATAAGAAAACAGGGAAATGTGAGGGTGGGATTTGAAGAATGGGGTACCTGCAGCTGGAGGGGTATACCCCATCACCTGGTCTTAAATGTCTCCAGGTCCCTGCAGGACATACATCACTGCCATCGACAGGCCAGGCACGTGTGTGTTGTGTGTGTGCACAGGAGGGTGTGTAGGATGTGACACTCACCGGGGGGTGCTTGCGCTTCCTCCCAGGCCGCCCCACCTTCCGTGCCGTGGTGCTGGGCTCTTGGCGCTCCTCCTTGCCACGCGGCTCCTCCTGCTCCTCTCCGTCCTGCAGGCACAGACACAGCCTGTGAGGCCAGAGGTGGATCCCAGCAGTGTAGCATTCCAGGCCTGTCTGGGGCTGGCCCTGGCTTCCCTTCCAGCCCCAGCCTCCTCCTGTCCCACGAGCCACACTTCCAGGGCTGTGTAATATGCCCCCACCAACTCCCCTCCTGCCTGATGAGGCTTGAGGCACCCCTCAGAGCCCCACTTAAAATATATCCTTGGCCAGGCACCGTGGCTCATGCCTGTAATCCCAGCACTTTGAGAAGCCAAGGCAGGAGGATCCCTTGAGGCCAGGAGTTTGAGACCAGCCTGGGCAACATAGTGAGACTCCATCTCTATAAAAATACCCACACCCATATATATATCTAAATAATATATTATTTAGATATCTAAATAATATATTATTTAGATATCTAAATAATATATTATTTAGATATATATTTAGATATATATTTATATATCTAAATAATATAATATATATATATATATATATATATATATATATATATATATATATATATATATATATAAATAATACATCCTTTGGGGAACTTCAGGGCAGACGCTGCTGTCCCCCCGGAAGGCATCTCTCTCTCTTTATGACCACATTTTCCGAACCATAAAATCATAACACAAGCTCTGATAAAGGATTTGAGTTAAAAGTTTATTTATATGAGAAAGCTTTTGTTCACAGATACACAATTACATTTGTGATCTACTTAATGAATCACCTTTATTGAAAATAAAATCGCTGGGCATGGTGGCTCACGCCTATGATCCTAGCACTTTGGGAGGCTGAGGCAGGTGGATCATGAGGTCAGGAGATTGAGACCATCCTGCTAACACGATGAAACCCCATCTCTACTAAAAATACAAAAAATTAGCCGGGCATGGTGGCACGCGCCTGTAGTCTCAGCTACTAGGGAAGCTGAGGCAGGAGAATTGCTTGAACCTGGGAGGCAGAGGTTGCAGTGAGCCAAGATCACGCCACTGCACTCTAGCCTGGGAGACAGAGCGAGACTGTCTCAAAAAAAAAAAAAGAAAATCAAGTGAAAAGAAATATTAAATTTAGCAATATCTATTTGAAGTCCAGGCAATACTCGAAATGGACAACTATGGAAAGTGGAGGACTTGTACAGCTGTGAACACCCCTGCCATGTGGAGCTGGCACCGCGCATGCCTGTCAGCCTGCAGGAGGATCTCAGGGACCGAATCTCAGCTCCTCTCCATCTCTTGCATTCACCGAGTTTGGAACAGAAGTTTGTTTTACTCCCCGCCCCTCACATAACACCTGTGCACGGCTGGGCCCTGACATGCTTGTCTCCTGGGGCACAGAGACATAAACCTAGAAAGTCCTGCCTCACTACTCCAGCCTGGCCACAAACCACCCACAAGTCCCTTCTGACTCAGCTGGGCTCTGGCATGACTAATCCCCAGCAGAAATGATGCTGGGGAAGTGGGGAGAAAGACGTCCTGACCCTGCAGATGGGCCACAGGCTGCTCTTCATACCCTGCACGATGTCAGGAGCCAAAGATGGCTTTTGGGCCCTCCCCAAGGAGGGGCCAACCCAGGGCAGTGCTGGCAGCACAGAGGTAGAAGAGGGTCCACAGCTCTCCTGGAGACCTGAGTAAGATGGCCCTCAACAACCTACTCAACTTTCATTTTCTGTGATTGCAAAATACCTTGTGGTTTGCCACATTAATTTTTAGGTGACAGTGGGACACACAAATGGAAACCTACTGTGACCAGCTGTAGACATAAGACCAGCGGGAAGAGCATCCCTGGCCCCTCCATCCATCCTCCAGCTGAGGCATGTCTGCAGGGCAGACCATCATGGCTCAAGTTCTGGGAGGCCTCCAAAGACATGCACATGGAGGGTGAACAGAGGTGCCCGGTCTTAGCATAGGTGGTGGCCACAGTCAAGCTGGAGAGAGGCAGAGCTCACACAGGAGATAGAGAGAGAATGCTCGGAGGTGCAGAAGAGGACCCTGGTGTGTTGTGGGAGCAAGGAAGGGGAGGGCTGCCAACACTGGAGACCAAAGCTGTCTGAGAAAGATACTGAGGATGAGGAGGCTTGGCTAGGGGTCAGAATGGCTGACCTTCAAGAGCACTGTCACTAAGCTGTGCAGAGTGACACGGCAGTGAGGGCTGGAGAAGGACCAAAGAGGGCAATTTAAGGAGCACAGCAGAGGAAGCATCTGGAAAGGATGCCAGGGGACTGGGGAGCCCCGTGCCGTCTGTGGAGGGAGAGGCCAGCCCCGAGGCCGGAGATCCTTCAGGGGCTCTTTTCAGGAAAGCACAGCAGACGGGCGGTGAGGGCAGAAAGGCTGTGGGAGGAGGAGCAAACTCGCGGGAGCCTTCATGAGGGCTCAGGGTGCCCAAGGGCACACGCCCCATGGGAGGGGAGGCCTGCTGCTTCTGAACCATCTTCTGAAGACCCCAGACCCCCGAGTGTAAGAAAGGATCACACAGAGAGGACGTATTGCCAGTGCAGCTTAGTATTTGTGAAGGTTCTGATTGGATCTACACAACTGCTAAGAATTTCAGGCTGAGGTGGGGCTTCTAATCCGATTCAACCAGTGCCAAATGGGCACCGTCTTGATCAGCACTTGTAAAATCATTAGGGGTCATGTGAGGTCATGGAAAAAGCAAAGTGGGCATGAGCCCAGCTTGTCCATTTCCTAGTTACAGGAGCAGCCTCTCGGAGCCTCAGTTTCCTCATCCATAAAATGGGGGTAGGGAGGTGTCCATCCTGTCTGCTTCTCAGGTTTTGAGAAGACAGCTTCACAAAGGGTCTGCCCCTTTGTCTGTTTTGTTTACTGCTGAATCCCCAGCGCCTAGGGCAGATTCTGGAAAAACTCCTACTGCCCATAAATTCTGGGCTTTAAACTATTTCTTTAACAAGCTGCATTTGTGACAGAGGGAGTCATTTGACTTTCTTTTATTCTGAACTAATCAGAGATGTGAAAGCCAACCAGAGCGTCTGATCAGTGAAAGGGAACCACAGTTACCACACAGCAATGACCTAAAAATAAAGACGCTTGACATTTCACGATGGGCACCAGCTTCCACTGGGCATGCGGAGAAAGCCTTTGGGGGCCCCGACAGGCCACCCCTCTGCCATATGCAGTCCTGCTGGCATCTCTCACCTACACCACGTGTGCAGGGCCTGTAGGTGCTCGGCACATTTTTTTCCCTGTTGGATTCAATTCCGTGCAACCCAGCCCAGGAGGAAGGGGTGGACCCCCCGGTGCCAGGCCACCTCTCCAGGTCCTGACAGGTCCAGAGAGGGCGGGGAGTGCCAGGCAGGGGTGCTGTGTGTACCCCACACCTGGTGCAAGGAGCTTTACGGCTGGCCCAGCATTCAGGCCCCGCATGCTTCTGGGTCGTGCTTGGAGTCTCCACGAGAGCCAGGTCTGAACAACTCCTGGCCCTTCCCCTTGACATTTGGCCCTAAGAGCAGCGTTGTGAAAAGCATGTTCTCTTCTGCCAACTCTTCCGCGATGGAGTCTTAGGGCAAAGCGGGAAGCGATGCTTCTGCTCTGGGCCTGCCTGAGGTTCCCTCTGCGGAGGGAGGGGGCTAACACGCCAAGAAGGGTGAGCAGATGGCTTGGGCCGTGCCCCTCAATGGCTCCAAGGAAGCGTAGCAAGTGGTTCATTCTCGCATCTGTCACGGGGTCTGTTTTATTCCATATCTTTGCTGATGGGTTGAGCAAAGGAATGTAAAACATGCTTATCAAATCTGCAAGTAGCCCTGAATTAGGAGGCGTTGCTAATACTCTGAAAGAAAAGAATCTGATCCGTGGTGACATGGGACAGCTGAAGAACAGTAACACAGTTCGCGGGAACAGATTTGAGCCCAGGTTGGTTTCCTCATCTGTCAAGCCAGGGGACTGAATTCGTCCACACTTCCAGCGCAGAGGGGAGGGGGTGGAAATTCCAGACACGTAGGCTTTGGAGAGGGCAGAGCCGGGCTGGGAGTTTCGCTCTGCTCTTTGCTTAGGAGTAACCTCAAGCTCTTTAACCTCCCTGAGTCTTGCTTTCCTCATCTATAAAATGGGATGATATCTACTTCACAGTGATGTTATAAGAATTAAATGAGGTGATGTAGCAAAAGCTGACACGTGATAGTCACTCGAGAACTGCTACCTTCCCCCGCTCCACACATCCTGATTCGTACTTCACTCCCACTCCATCCTCCCCATCCCCCTCTCCCTGCCTCGTGCAAATCCCAGCACGCCGCCCACCATATGCAGCGATCCCTCACTATCACACAGAGCCCAACATCTGGCGGGCGCTCTTGCCGCAAGATATGTGGCAATACTGGGGCTCTAGGAGCTTTCCAAAATGCAAAGCTGATTATGCCACTCTGCAGAGCTTAAACCTTTGCCACGGGGGTTCCCGGGGGCCAGGAGGATCCAGCCAAGCTCCTCAGCTCATGTGCAGGGCGGTCCCCAGGATTTGGCTGGATCGCCTTGGTCTCTTCTCCACACTGTGGTCCCAACAGACAGCACCAAGCGCGAAAGCAAACTGCTTCCGGCCTCAGCCCCTAGGCATAGACTGTTCTTCTGACCACACCACCTTCCCCTCAGGTTTATCAGCAAACTGTTACTCGCTTTTCCAGCCTCCTATCCTGGATTCCCTGCCCCTAGGCCCCCTCCTCCCATCCCCTGCCTAGACTGAGCTGAAAGACCCTTCCTCTCCTATAGTTCCCCTACCCAGCAAGGCAACGGTCAGCTCCTTGAGGGAAGTGTGGGTGTCTGATTCATGCTGGCATCCAGAATGCCTAGACGGATGCATTTAGTCCAAGGCAGGCACTTGATGAATGACTGTCACAGAGTAGGTGCCTGACGTGAGTCCATAGACGCAAACAGAGACACACGTACAAATCTACAAACCCGTACAAATACAACTGTGTACGAGGTTCCAGTGCCTCTCGGATCTTTACGATTCCAGATTAGGAAACAAGAGGACTAAAACGTCCCTTCTAGACTTAAACATAATTGTCACTTTGCATTTATGTCATTCTTTGCAGCTTTCAAAGCACCTTCACATTTGGTGGCCTGTGAGATTAGGTGGTTCCTCTCTCTAAACATCTGAGGCTACGATCTGACCTACATTTCAACACTGCTCACTGGATGGATTATTTTAAGCCATATACAACGTCTCATTCTGATGCGCTGGGCTATGACGATAATAATCTCTCACATTTGCACTGAACGTGGTAATTAACAAAGCATCTTCACATATGTTATTTCATTGTATTCTTACACTTTACAGAAAGCAGAGCTGGTATTATTTTTTTCTGTTACACAGATGAAACACCTGAAGCTCAGAGAGATTATCTGACTTGCAGGGATCAGAGAGCCAGGAAAGGAGGCCTTTAGAACCAAAATTTACATCTTTTGTTTACCAGTCCATCGGTCTTTCTACTGCAACATGCCACTATACCCTACCATGTCAACAGGCACACACACAGTGACACCATAAAGATACAGGCAATCCAAGGTCAAGGCACACTGGCATTCACAGGCACAGACACTCTGGGCTGGCTGTGCCCAGACACAGGACCCCTCCCCACAAGAGATTTATGTCTCTTGAGGCCCTCACCTAGAGACAGCCAGCCTGACATACGTGTATTCCCTTCAGTACTTAAACCGGATGCTACTGACCCAGCATCGGTTGAGCAGATGTCTCGAGTTGGTGCTTGAGTCGAGGGGATGAACTTGCCGGATCTAGCCAGCTACTTGCCCGGGCCCCCTGGGACAAGAAGCATGCCCAGCCTTTGCCAGCTGGCTGGCTGGCCTCCCAGGGACTGTCTGTGGTCATGGAATTCAGTGAAACGAATTGGCTTCTGCAAGAGGCAGAGCCCTGTCCTGGGTTGCCTGAGCACCAGGCTCTGCAGAGCTACAGCCACACGCTTGCGTACCCCAATGCCACACAGACACTCACATATGCTTGCACACACACCCGTGCCCAGGCCAACCTGCAGAGGCTGATCCCAGCGTGAGGGGTCAGGCAGTGGGCTGGGAATCACTGTAGATGCGCATGGGCCCAGAGCCCTCCAAAGCCCCCTACTTTTTCTGATCTCAGTCACCTCCCAAGGCTCATCAGCCCTTTATTTCAATTATTCAACAATATCCGACAAGTAACCATTGACTGCTTAGGTCGTGTCATAATTACCGAGGAAAGCCTTCCATCCTCCTGAAAGGCCACTCTCCTGGAGGGGAGGGGCCGTGTCTCATTGGCGCCTCTGAGTCCCCCACAGCTCCTGGGTACTTGCACACAGAGGTGTTCCAGAAATGCTAAATAGCTGACAACGGTGGTGCCCATCTGGTTCCCAGGCCCTCGTGCCAGGGCTGCAGCCCCTTGTCCACAGCCTGTCCACCTGGCTGGGGCCTCATTGTCTTCTGGAGGTGCAGGGTGGGCCAGACCTCACACCCACGAGCAGCACACCTCAGCCCTGTCCACCTCTGAGGTCTCTATGTCACAAGGCCAGACACAGGGGTGCACTAAAAAAATCTATTGAGCACCTACTGTGTACTGGATACAAAGATAAACAAATAGGAAACTCGGTTCAGAGGGAGACAACAACATGTAAACAAGTACCTGATGCCATGCTGAGCCCAGACTGGAGTGTGCTACTGCTCTGCCTGTGGCCACTTCCATGGCACCAAGCCCACACATGTCTGCTCCTTCAGTAGCACACCCAGCTCTGCCAGCCCTTGCTTAATAGAGGGGAAGATCCAGATAAAACTACTTTGTAGCCGTGTGGCCTCTCTAAGCCCCAGTTCCTCATCGGTAAAATGGGGATGAGGAACCTCTGACCATCATCCTGCTCTGGGCGCCCCCTAACTAATCATGATGACAGAATGAGTCAATTACCGTGCAGAGAACACTCCTTTACATGCCCTTCCATGCAGCACAAACATTACGTGGGATGATTACAAGGAATATCCCTAATGCCCTGTGGCTCTCTGCAGAGGCAGCTGCAGGGTATGACCAGGACTCCTGTGCCAAGCCCAGGTACCAGAGAGGAAAGGCTCATTTCCCAATTATCCTGGGACACTGCTCCACCACTCAGCTCTATTCTTTTTCTTTTTTTTTTCCCAGCCAGGGTTTCACCATGTTGGCCTTGAACTCCTGACCTCAGGTGACCTGCCCACCTCAGCCTCCCGAAGGGCTAGGATTACAGGCATGAGCCACCACACACCGCAGCTTTTTTTTTTTTTTTTTTTTTTTGAGATGGAGTTTTGCTCTTGCCACCCAGGCTGGAGTGCAATGGCGAGATCTTGGCTCACTGCAACCTCCACCTACCAGGTTCAAGTAATTCTCCCACCTCAGCTTCCCAAGTAGCTGTGATTACAGGCACGCACCACCACGCTGGGCTAATTTTTGTATTTTTAGTAGAGACGGGGTTTTGCCATGTTGGCCAGGCTGGTCTCCAACTCCTGACCTCAAGTGATCCATCTGCCTTGGCCTCCCACAGTGCTGGGATTCAGGTGTGAGCCACTGCGCCTGGCCCATTCTTCTATTCTGCACAGCTGAGCCTGGCCTTTCCTGCCCTGGCCCTGGGCGACTCACCTTATCAGCAGGGCTGGGCTCCATCCCTAACCCGGCCATTAAGAGCAGGAGGGACCCAAGTGACTGTGGCCCCTCACCTAGGCCCCTGAAGGGATCTACAGCCCCTGCCATCAGGAGTTAGGTCTCATCACCACTTGCCTTGTTTTACTTTTGTTCAAGGGATAAAGGGAACTCAGGCCTTTAGTGACTGATGACCCAAAGAGAGACAACATTCCCTTCACGTGCTAGGCTCTCAGTGGACTCTAAGCCCACACTCTGTCCCCACCCATGGTTTCCTACTCTTCTCCCACGCCCCTGCAATTCATGGGGCGGCAGTGGGTGTAAACCACAAAGGTGTAGGTAGGTAGGTAGGTAGGCAGGTAGGTGGGTGGGTGGATGGGTAGGTAGATATCCAAAATAAATTATAAAGCTAACTTAACATATGCTATGTCCTGGTGTTAACCACTTGCACACACCATCTCGTCTGAACCTCTCAAGCCAACTAGGAGCTGTTTTCCTGCTCACAGCCATGTTTCCAAGTCACGTGACAGAGTCCAGCTTCAACACAGGCCCTTCTGCAGGGGCCAAACAACCCCCATCCAAGACTGTACTGACCAAGATTAACTACATTTGACATGTAATAATGTCCAATTTAAGAGAATTTTAGAGAAACCGAAGCCCAAAATGTAGGTCCTGCTCAGCTCAGGGATGGGCACTGTTTACATCACAAACCTGCTAAGCACGCCCAACCCTCTCCTAACTCCCCCGAGATCAGAGTGAGCGCGCCATTATCGCTGGCTGGGTCTCTGAAGAGGTGAGGGTGCAGCGGCTTTTCTATAGCTATTTAAACATACTAAGAAGGATGCTCTTTGAAATGACCTTACCGCAACCACTGTCAAGCAAAGAGCCAGCCCTAAGTGACCATGTGGGGGCATCTGAGTGCAAGAAAGGCAGAACATGCCCAGGAGCAGGTGACAGACCGCGGGCAGCAAGAATGACTGCCACTGGAACTGGCAGGGACCCCACCCAAGGATGGAGGCCCTTGTACTTGCAGACCAGAGTGGAGAGAGCCCACGAGAAATCAGTGGCTGCCAGGCCTCTGGGCCAGACTTTGATGGGGAGGGGAAAGGAGGAACCGCAGCCCCAATGCTGCCCACAGATGCATACACACACACACACACACACACACACACACACGCACGCACATGTGCAAACACATAAGTGCTGTGTTTCCCCAGCACAAAGATGCACCCCAGCTGCAGCTTCTACTACAGGCAGGAGAAGGCTTGATCAGAGGAGCTGCCCAGCAGGCCTCACCCACCCCTGGGGGGCAGGCATGGCTTACCCACCTCGATGTCTTCCTACCCCTCTACTAGGCCCTCCAAGCACGGTCACTCAGTTCATCCAACAGCCTTGCGGAGCCCTGCTACATGCTAACTACCTGGAAAGGTACCTATGTCTGAAGAAAGGGAGGGAGGAAGAGAAGAAAAGAGGAGCTGTATGTCCAGGGAGGGAGAGGCAGGGAAGGAAGGAGGGCAGGAGGCAGGAAGAAATGGTAAGAAGCTGCATGTCTGCAGCAGTGCCTCCATCTGGTGTGTGTGCCTGTACACGCAGGTGGTGTGTGCAGTTCTTGCTGGAGATGAAGTGCCCCCAACTTCTCCCCAAGGGCAAGAGCGCCATTATGCAGTGAAAGGCTTTCTCCTGCAGCAAAAGTCCAGGGGAGGACTACGAATTCTCATCACATCACCACCGGGGGGCACTGTTCACTCCATCCCCCTTCACGCAGGAGACAGCCTAAGGAGCGCAGAAGCCAGCCTCATTCCAGCCTCAGCACTAGCACTTAACAAGCTGTGTGACTCTAGGCAAGTGACTTAACCTCTCTGAGCTTCAGTTTAGCCCTTAATAAGATAGAATGATGAAAATAATAGTGTCTACCTTATGCGGCAATTGTAAGAATTAAATAAGATAGGCCCGGCGTGGTGGCTCACGCCTGTAATCCCAGCACTTTGAGAGGCCGAGGCGGGTGGATCATGAGGTCAGGAGATCGAGACCATGCTGGCTAACATGGTGAAACCCCGTCTCTACTAAAAAAAAAAATACAAAAAATTAGCTGGGCATGGCGGGCGCCTGTAGTCCCAGCTACTCAGGAGGCTGAGGCAGGAGAATGGCGTGAACCCGGGAGGCAGAGCTTGCAGTGAAACAAGATCACGCCACTGCACTCCAGCCTGGGCAACAGAGCAAGACTCCGTCTCAAACAAAAAAAGAATGGAATAAGATAATGCATGCACATAGCACCCGGCAGTCGGCGTTCAATGCATCTTAGCCATTGTGTTTCTGAGGCCAGAGGAAAGGGGACAGAACTGAGAACAGGGGCCTGGCCTGGGGCTGTGGACTCCCCTCTGATTCATATTTGGGGATCTGAGGTGGCCCTTGGACTGTTCTTGGTCCCCTGTCCTGCTCCCTCTGCCCCCCACCCTCTGCTCCATACTCCCCTCTAAGCTCTCAGCCTCCCCACTGCTTGCCTCCCCACCCACCCTCCATGAGGCCAGCCCCCTCCCTCTGCTGCGGCAACATTTACCAGCTGACTCGCCCTGACCACAGCCCCAGAGCTCGGCCTGCCTCCTCCCCATCTCCCCAAGCAGCCCTGCTCTGCCCACCATATGGATGGCGGGTAGGGCAGGCGGCAGGTGCCAGGGGGACACACACAGGCCACTCTGTACACTCCCAGCCACAGCATGGCTGCCTCAGCCCAGCACCCACAGCTCTGCACTCCGCCTCCCTGATCCTGGGCTCCGGGATTATTCTCCTGTGGGAGGGTCTTGGCTACTCTCATTTTTCTTTCCGTTCTATCCGTAAAATATTTCCCAAGCACCCACTCTGTGCTATTCCAGGTCCGGGGGATTCACATGGAAGAAAAGGGCCGTGACCCTGCGCTCCAGGCTAGCAGTGGGCAGAAGTTATCTACACCAATAGTTCTCAACATCTGTGCGCAACAGTATCCCCTGGAGGGATGGTTAAAGGTGCCCGGCTGGGTCCCATCCCCCGAGTTCTGGCTCAGCAGGTCTGGAATGGGGCCTGAGCTTTGCCTTCCCAGGTGATGCTGAAGTTGCTCATTTGGGGATCCCACTTTGAGAACCACTGGTCCCCTGCAAACTATAATACAAGGCCAACTACAGCCTGGGCTTTGAGGCTTTGACCAGGGAGGAGAAGAGATTAGGGAAAGGGCCCATGCGGCAGAGGGAGCAGCATAAACAAAGACCTGGAGACTCCAGGAAGTATGGGAGTGGGGCTGGAGTGAAAGGTGCATGGAGGCGGGGCTGGGGGCGGGGGCGGGGAGGGGGGGCGGCGGTGGGCAGAGGCTAGAGGGCCACATGGGGCCAGGCAGTGGAAGGGCCATTGGTTGGCCACACCCCTTCCATCTGGCTTGCCAAACAGTTCCTTTGTGCACAGTGCCCCTGGCACCTGTGCCAGGCTCCCTGGGCTGCAGACCAAGCCTGTGTCTTCCCCTCTGCAGCTACCAGCACCCCTGCCGCAGGCCTGGCTTTCATGGGCTGCTGTGGTGGCTGTCAGTGTCTCTCCCCACCCTCCCTGGGCGGCTCCCTGGAGGTGCTGGAGCCAGCCCAGAGGTGCCGGGGAAGTGTGCCAGGTGAGCCAGCATGCGTGGTGTAGGTGTGGGCGGCTGGGGAGGAGGCCTGGCTATGGCCCAGCCCTTATCTATCCAGATCACTGCCATCTTTTGGCATGACCCCTCCTGCTGGGGTGTGAGTGTGCACTCTATCAGCACCGGGATCTAGGGCTGGGTGTGTGTTTGTTGCCGCTTGAGCCAGAGCAGTTACTATGGGTAGATAATAATAGCAATCGTAATCCCTCATAATTGGACCAGACTTTGCTGTCTGCAGGTCACTTCCATGCCCATGACCTTATCTGACTTCCACAACCACCCTTTAAAACAGGCAAGGCTGGAGTCACTATCCCCATTTTCCAGCTGAGCAAACACAAGCCCAGATGGCCTGAAGTCACATCTCCAGTAAGTGGCATACTCAGGACTAGGACCTGGGATTTCTGACTCCTGGTCCAGCGTTGCTTCTCAGTCCTGAGCTATTATAATGCAGATCCTGACCTGCTCCCGTCCATTGGTGGTGGCCTGGGGCTCCGCAGCCCAGAGCAGCAGCAGCGGCGTGGGAGTACAGTCCAGTAACAGGAGGAGTTTGTCCCAGCTGTCCCCACCCTCCCCACCTGTGGGGAGCAGCTGACCAGTGACTGCCAGTGCATTGATGGGGAGCTGCGTCAGCAACTGTCAGGACATCGGACCCAGAGTGGGGCGACACTCGGGGTCACCTTATCCGACAGAGAAAGCAAGCCAGGCCCAAGAAGGGGAGGGAGTCAGCCATGGCCACAGTTGCCACTCCAGAGCACAGACAGCGGCAGGTGTCCCCAACTCTACGGCCAAAGGGCTTGGGTCTTCATGCTGCTTGAGTCCTGAGCGGGGGCAGCCTAGGGGCCCGCAGGTATCCAGGACTATCAGTTCTTTTCCCATGGATTCAGAAGGGAGGAGCCTGATCGGTCGCCCCGGGCGTCCTGCCCAGTGGGCCGCAGCGCATGCTGGCTTTCTGACCTGCTCTGGCTGACTGGGTGCACACACCCCCACGGTGCTCTACAGGGTGCTGGGCTGGGAAGGCAGGTCCCTGGGCGTCATGTGCACTCCTGGGATGTGTACATGTGTCCCTAGCAGGACCTATGCAGGTAGGGCTGTGGGAAGGGCTCGGACCTGGGAGACAGGAGAACAGGCTGTCATCTGGACCTGCCACTGCCCAGCGGGGCTCAGCTTCCTCATCTGTAAACTGGGGCCATCTGTCCCTGCCCCATTTGTTTCAAGAGTTGTCCCCAAGGACCAAATAGAACCATTGATGGAAAACTAGGAAACAGAAACACACTCTGAAGAATGGTAAACCCAGGAAGGAGCTGAGCACGCAAGAGGGAGGTCTCAGAGCTGACACCCTTCAGGTAGGGTGCTGGCTGCCTCTAGCCCCAGAGTGCCCAGGGCCCCCAAAGCTGGTGCCAGGTGTCCACCTTTGTTCCAAAAGAACCAACTGGTGCCCCCATGAGCATGCCCAGCTACTCCCAGACACCACCAAGCAGCACAACCCCCAGCGCTACTCAGGGGAAGGGGAGCAGGCAGGGGGAACTGTGGACAGAGGCACAGCAGACAGACATGCCAGGAAGGCCTATGGCCATCATAAGATCCCCTGGAGGGTGGCAGTGAGTTCACCATTCCACTGACAGAGGGCAACACAGTCCAGTGCTGGGGGTTAAGGGGCAGCTTTTCCTATCATGGGGACACAGCTTGGTAAGGTCCCAAGACAGCCTGTGGAGACCCAGCAGGGACTCCCATCAGTCTGATGTAATCTCCTCTGACTGATTCAGGCACAACCTGGAGTTCAGCAGAAGGGTGGAGAGGCCACCCCCAACTAGATTCTGAAAACATGGAGGTCACCAGCTCCGTGGCCAAAAGCCATACCAAAGATAACCCAGCGACATTCACCTGGAGTCTGGGGTGGGGGGCGGGGACAGGAAATCACCATCTCCAAAGTGTGCTGGCGCCACACTGAGCCCAGCCTGTGCCTCCGTCTGTGTGGGAGGGTGGGCCCCCGCGGCCTCGTGTCTGCCGTGCCCCACCCCAGAACTTGTCTTTGGTCCCCTAGAAGCTACTGAACACCTTAAGGAAACAGAGGCAGCTGAGAGAGAAAGTGATTCACGTGAAGGCCCACGGCTAGTAAGAGGCGGGTCCGAGAAGGAATCCAGGTTCTGGGACTCTCTGTGAGGCCGAACCCTCACAATGGCACAGACCTGGGCTTTGAGCCACTGTGCGAATGCCATGGTGGTTAAAAGCCTGGGTCCTGGAACCAAATGCCTGCTCCATCACCAGAATTGAACCTCTGCAAGCCTCCGTTTCCTCATCACCCAAACAGGGATGTGATGGTCCCACACCCTGTCGTGAGCACTGAGTGATGCGGTCATGCACTCAGTATGAGGAGCCGGCTGTCATCACATAGGGACAGGGCTCTCCCTCTCCCAGGCCAGAGGGTCCCCAGCAGAGCCCGCTGCTCACCTTTCGGTCCTCCTCCCGCTCCGCAGCAGAGCTGCTGGTGTCCCCGGGGCCGCTGGAGGGCATGGCGGGCATCTGGGCGCCGGGAGGCAGGCTGGGGCTGCGCGGGGCTGGGGGGCTGCTGGGCTTTGGGGAAGGAATTATCGTGGTCTTTGGAGGCGAGAGTTAAAACTTAAACATAGATCCCGGTGTTGAGCCCTCTGGTGAACGGTGCCTCTGTCAGCCTGTGGGTGGGGGCTTCGATGGCTCCACCTGTGGGGGAGAGAAGAGGATCAGTGGGGCGGAGCACCCCACCCTCCCTGGGTCAGGCCCTCAGCCCAGGGCCACACCTGGCCTGTGAGGCCTGGGGTGTTGCTCCTCCTTCTGGCCTCACCAGCACCCCAGAGAGCAGAGAAACCGAGGCAGGCTCCCTTCAGGGCCACCTCCTACCCCAGCAGCCTCTGAGAGCCTTGGAGTGGCAGCAGTCTCCCCTCCGTGTCGCTGCGGCCAATGGGTGCCACTTCTGGGACCTCCAGCTGCCTCCGCCTCCTCCCTTCTCTTCATTCACAGCCTCTCTCTCCTTTGAAAGCTTCCCGCATCCTCCCTCCCACCCCAACCAGCCCCTGGGAAATCCCAGCCTCCCCCAGAGGCCCCTAGCCCAGCTACGTTTTCCTTCTAATCTGTCCTCACCCCCACCCCCACACCTCCCGCCACGTGGAGGAAGTGAGTGCAGTCACAGGATGTAGTGAAATGAATGTCACCTCACTTCAGGACCGGTGCCTGGGCCCAGAGAAAGCTGAGGTCTGAGCTCAGGCTGCAGGCCTGGTTGGCTCTGGCCTAGGAGGGAGAGGCCACGGCCACGGCCAAGGCCACAGGCCACGGCCACACTGAGGCAGGAGTGAGGCTGCTCTCTCCCCCACCCCATGAACCAGCCTCATTTGCCTGCAGAGTTGGTGGGCTTGAGGGGTCCTCTGAACCCACACGGCTGAGTTTAGGGGCTTTTCTTCCCTCTGCTCCAGGTGTAGGCCTCAAGCCAGAGAAATAACAAAGCCTGCAGCTCAGGCCACAGCTGGGGTGGGGGTGTTGCTGTCTCAGCCCCCTCACTCAGAGACACACAAGAGCTCCCCTGCTCCCCACCCCCGGAGGAGGCGGCCGCCAAGCCCCTGCCTTGAGTGTGCCAGGGCCCAGGAGGGGATTGGCAGGCAAGGGAGAGCGGGAGGCAGGCTGGATCTGGGCCCACCCACACCCTTCCCCTTCCAGTTCCTGGTTCTGCTTCCCCAGCTCCCCCTCCCTCCTGGGCTTCTCCTCCCATCCCCCTCCAGTCAGGGCTCCCTGGAAAACCAGGACCGGGAGAAAGCACAGGCTTGGCTCTCCTACAGGCCTAGCCCCTTTCTCCAGGGGTGCATTCTTGCCTGGGAGTGGGTGCCCCAGCCCTGGCTGTGCCCCAGGGGGTAGTGGGAGGAAGGAGCTGGCAGGAGGAGCTTCTTAGGGCCAGGACAGGAAGAGCTCCATCAGGTCAACCCAGAAAGGCTTGAAGCGGACCTGCCCCACAGCTGAGCCCTGAGGCAGCCCAGGTGCACTGCGTCCATTCCCCATACCCCTAGGCACAGCGCAGTGCTGGGCTTAAGGAAGGTTTGCTGCCCGGGTCCCGAGAGGGTGGACGGCAGCGGAGAGCAGCTCCATCGGCCACATGCCACTCAGGGCCTGGCTCGTGCTCTGCATCTGGGCAGCTGCTGTGCCGTGCCCAGTTTACAGGTGACGGTAAGATCAACAAGGCCAGGACCCATCAGAGGCATGAACCCAGATCTCTCTGACACTAAAGTTCTGAGGGGTTGGGTTCACGTCCCCCAACACACACCACAGAAGCAACTCTGAAGATCCCAAAAGAGAACTGGTCCAACCCAGAAGCACTCGGCTGCCAGCCCTTAGCAGCCAGTGATTCCCTGTCAAGCCTCACTCCCCATTTGTTACCACAGACATCTCCAGCCACACTAAAACAAAAACCTTCGAAAGGGTCAGAAGCTAAGAGGGGCAGAGTCTGATTGGAAAGAACGTTGAGCCCAAAGTCCGCAGGGGTGGGATCTACTCCTGACGGAGGCTTCCCCGGCCCTCAGTTTCCCCACCAATGAAATGGGAGAGCAGGACCCCTTCTATTAATAGCTCTGACCGGCCAAGGAAGCTGTTGCGGCCCCACAGGCACAGTGGACACACAAGGGGCTGACAAGGACAGGGCACCCCAAATGGAGTCGGGGGAGACCCAGGCACAAAGGAAGCGGGGCGGGAGGGTTGTCTTGATGCTGCCCTAGGCTTAGGGACACCCAGAGGGCATCTGTGCCGCCACGGGTGTGGCGAGGTTCAGAGAAGCTCTGGAGAGGAAGGAAGCTGGAGGGAAAAGCAGAACTTCACAGGGCATTGGCCCCAAGGGCAGACACCCCAGACAGGAAAGGAAAGGAAGATTCTCTTCCTCCTCCCCTTCCTCCACCCAAGACTCTGACATCTGAGCTGCAGAAACTGTCCTCACAGAAAATGCAGCTGACCTGGGTCAACCCTTTCGTGTTGCTCAATGGACCAGCCCTGTCAGTAGCAGTCCCTCAAAATCGTGTCCATCACCTAAAATCCTCCAGTATGTGTCTGGGCGGGCCATGTACTACACAACCCTAGGGGGCCCCAGTTGGTGGCCAAGGTCCCAGACCTTGACATAGCATTGCCCACCTACCCGTAGACGCTTCATTCTTCCTTCAGGCAGCCCAGCCATGGGGAGTGGGCTCTCCTGGGCCCACAGTCCCAACACAGCAGCGGGTGTCCACCACATCGGTCCTTCCACCGCACAGCCCTGGCTGCTTCCGATACCAAAGCGTTCTTCCCACCTGGGCCAAGGGCTGCACAGCCACCACCACTGCCACCAAAAAACCCTTGCCAAGAACCCTACCACCATGAAAAGCAGCTTTTATTTCCTCCTTTTAGAGTCCACAGTGACCATGAATAATGTTTGTTAACAGCCACTTAAAAAATTTCAAGGAATCCCACCATGAAAACATCTTCGTATCACAGCTGATATGATCACCATCTCCACTGCGTCAACTATAAAACTGTTGTGGAAAAAGAACTGAAAGCTTTGAATATGCATACCAAGGCTCACTACCTTCTAAACTCAATGCAATAGAAACATTTTTTGTTTGTTTGTTTAGAGCAGGTTCTTGCTCTGTCACCCAGGCTGGATGCAGTGGTAGTATCATAGCTCAATGCAGCCTCAAACTCCTGGGCTCAAGTGCAAGTGATCCTCCCACCTCATCCTCCTGAGTAGGTGGGACTACAGCCATGTACCACCACACCTGGCTTTTTTTTTTTTTTTTTGTAGAAACAGGGTCTCCCTATGTTGCCCAGGCTGGTCTTGAACACATGGCTTCAAAGGATCCTCCCACCTCAGCCTCCCAAAGTGTTGGGATTCCAAGCATGAGCCACCACACCTGGCCAAAAGATTTTTTAAGACATAAAATCACAAGATTAGGCTGAACAAGAGAAGGAATACCACCAACAAAATTGTGGAATCTGGAAAGCAGACTTGTGACAGCCAAATTTCAGACAGGCGTGTGAACGCTGATATATAACACAGTCTTCAACAGATGCTTATATGACAGCACCAGGTACTCTGGCACTAGGGCTGAAGAGGATGCTTGTGTGAGAAACGAGAGGCTGAGTGAGAGTAGTGAATTCCTAGACCCTCTTCTACAAGTTTGAAGGTTTATCTGTAGTCACTGGAGGGCATAAAATAGGGGGTCTTTGCACAGAGTCACTTGGCACAGCTGAAGACAAAGATGATATATCAAACCAAGGAGAGGAAGGTTATTTATTTATTTATTTTCTGAGATGGAGTTTCACTCCTGTTGCCCAGGCTGGAGTGCAATGCCGCGATCTCGGCTCACCGCAACCTCCGCCTCGCGGGTTCAAGCGATTCTCCTGCCTCAGCCTCCCGAGTAGCTGGGATTACAGGCATGTACCACCAAGCCTGGCTAATTTTGTACTTTTAGTAGAGATGGGGTTTCTCCATGTTGGTCAGGCTGGTCTCGAACTCCCAATCTCAGGTGATCTGCCCACGTCAGCCTCCCAAAGTGCTGGGATTACAGGCATGAGCCACCGCGCCGGCCGGGAAGGTTATTTTAAATGCTGATGTCCAGTCTCTCAGGCTATTCCCCGATTGGGCTCTAAGAATACTGGCAGCCAGACAACCATTTCCTTCTCTGGAGAATCGAATGAGTCTAAGAGGAAAGGTTTAAGGATGCCAATACCAACATCAGTACCAAAATGGGGTCAAAATGACTTATTCAGGTCAGCCTATGTAGACTTGAAAACCAACAAGTCCACTATCATTCTCAGAGCTTCCGATCAGTTGGGTTTTTTTGTTTGTTTTTGTTTTCTGAGACGGAGTCTTTCTCTGTTGCCCAGGCTGGAGTGAAGTGGCATGATCTCCACTCACTGCAACCTCCGCCTCCTGGGTTCAAGTGATTCTCATTTCTCAGCCTCCCGAGTAGCTGGGACCACAGGCGCCCGTCACCACTCCCGGCTAATTCTTGTATTTTTAGTAGAGACAGCTTTCGCCATGTTGGCCAGGCTGGTCTTGAACTCCTGACCTCAAGTGATCCACCCACCTTGGCCTCCCAAAGTGCTGGAATTACAGGTGTGAGCCACCGTGCCCAGCCAAAATTCTTAAAGAATAAACCAAATCTTAAACAATCTTCCAATTAGAATTATTTTCAGCCAAATTATCATTTAAGTGTGAGAGTAAAATAAAGACATTTTCTTTTTTCTTTTCTTTTTTTTTTTTTTTTTGAGATGGAGTCTCGCTCTGTCGCCCAGGCTAGAGTGCAGTGGTGCAATCTCGGCTCACTGCAAGCTCTGCCTCAGGGGTTCATGCCATTCTCCAGCCTCAGCCTCCCAAGTAGCCGGGACTACAGGCGCCCACCACCATGCCTGACTAATTTTTTTTCTATTTTTAGTAGAGACAGGGTTTCACCGTGTTAGCCAGGATGGTCTCAATCTCCTGACCTCGTGATCTGCCTGCCTCGGCCTCCCAAAGTGTTAGGATTACAGGTGTGAGCCACCACGCCTGGCCCTTTTCTTTTCTTTCTTTCTTTTTTTTTTTTTTTGAGACGGAGTCTTGCTCTGTCGCCCAGGCTGGAGTACAGTGGTGGGATCTCGGCTCACTGCAACCTCCACCTCCCGGGTTCATGCCATTCTCCTGCCTCAGCCTCCCAAGTAGCTGGTACTACAGGTGCCCACCACCACACCCGGCTAATTTTTTGTATTTCTAGTAGAGACGGGGTTTCACCATGTTAGCCAGGATGGTCTCGAGCTCCTGACCTGGTGATCCGCCCGCCTTAGCCTCCCAAAGTGCTGGGATTACAGGCATGAGCCACCACGCCCGGGGTCTTTTTTTTTTCTTAAATAGAGATGGGGTCTCACTATGTTGCCCAGGCTGATCTTGAACTCCTGGGCTCAAGTGATCCTCCCACCTCAGCATCCCAAAGTGCTGGGATTACAGGCGTAAGCCACCGTGCTGGGCCCTAGTAAAGACATCTTCAGACATATGAGGCCTCACGCTCCTTTCCCAGGAAGGACAGGAAGATGTCCTCTAATACGCATAAGATCCAGTACAGGAGAGATGGGAAGGGAGGCTCCAGGATGAAGGGGAAAAGAGGCCGCATGCCAGTCACCTGGCATGAGCCAGAGAGGGCCAGCCTTCCCACTGAGACTGGGGCACGAGTGCCGTCATCACCATGCCCTCTGCTGTCGAACTGTCTTTTTACCTGACAAAACTACACAGGTATCGCTCGTGGCCATACTCTGCTATCTAAACCCAGGAACTGAATAGATTTTTTCTTTCTTTCTTTTTTTTTTTTTTGAGATGGACCCTTGCTCTCTAGCCCAGGCTGGAGTGCAGTGGCGCATTCTCGGCTCACCACAACCTCTGCCTTGTGGGTTCAAGCAATTCTCTTGCCTCAGCCTCACGAGTAGCTGGGATTACAGGCACCCGCCGCCATGCCCGGCTAATTTTTGCATTTTTAGTAGAGATGGGATTTTGCCATGTTGGCCAGGCTGGTCTCAAACTCCTAACCTCAGGTGATCCACCCGCCTCGGCCTCCCAAAGTCCTGGGATTAGAGGCGTGAGCCACTGTGCCCAGCCATGAATGGATTTTGATATGGACAGATGTGTGTCCTGGAAGATGTGCTCTAATGAGGGGAGTGAGCCAAGCATGAGGAGGACACGAAAGCCAGAAAACAGAGATTCCAACCGGAAAGTAATGGGAATTCCAAAGATGACCACAAAAGGAAGTCACAGAGCATCAGCTACAATGTGCCTAGAAAGCAACTAGCCCAGAGTGAAAGAGGATAGATAACTTAAAAAATGGAACTGAAACATCTTTTACCTGCTGTGACTGCCCGTGTGGAAAGCAATACTGATGGCTATTGGAAAGTGTGGTAGGCCCACCACAAAGAAGTGATAAATGCTGGAGGTGATGGATATACCAACTATCCTGTTTTGATCATTACACAATGTATGCATGTATTGAAACATCACATTGTACCCCATAGAGATGCACAATTATTATGTGTCAGTTAAAAAGAAAAAAAGAAAAAGAAGTCCTAAGGTAACAGTATTGTTAAAGAAAAATAAAATTATATTAGAAGTTGTGGTAGGAATTAGCAACAGGTACAAAAAAATAAGGCAGATGAGAAACAAGGTAATTATTAACTTCAGGGAAAAAAAAACGAAAAGAAACTATTACAGTGCACCACAAGGCTCAGCTGTGAATAATAGTTTTATCGAAATAATAAAATAAACACTGTGTGTAGGTTTAACAAATATATGTGTGTGTACATATATATGTATATATGCATGTATGTACACACAAATTACTTTTGTATGTACCACAAAATTAATGCCTTAAAACAACACATTATCGGCCGGGCGCGGTGGCTCACACCTGTAATCCCAGCACTTTGGGAGGCCGAGGAGGGTGGATCACCTGAGGTCGGAAGTTCAAGACCAGCCTGACCAACATGGAGAAACTCCGTCTCTACTAAAAATACAAAAATTAGCCAGGCATGATGGTGCATTCCTGTAATCCCAGCTACTCGGGAAGGCTGAGGCAGGAGAATCACTTGAACCTGGGAGGCGGAGGTTGCGGTGAGCGGAGATGGCACCATTGTACTCCACCCTGGGCAACAAAAGCGAAACTCCGTCTCAAAAAAAAAAATTATCTTGCAATTCTGCAAGTCAGTAGTAAAAAAAAAAAAAGATTCTCCTTACTAGGCTAAACTCAAGATGTTGGCAGGGCTGCATTCTTTTCTGGAAACTCTAAGGAGAATCCATTTCCTTGACATTTTCAACATCTAGAGGCTGCCCTCATTCCTTGCCACGTGGTCCCCTTCCAACTCCAAAGCCAGCGATGGCCAGTCTTTTTCCCATCACAGTACTCTCTGCCTCATCAACATCTCCTGCTCTGACTACTCTTCTGCTTCCATCTTTCACTTCTAATGACCCTTCTGATTACACTGGGCCCACCCAGATAATCCAGGATAATCCCCTCATCTCTAGGTCATTAATTTAATCACATCTGCAAAGTCCCTTTTGCCATGTAAGGTGACATATTCACAGGTCCAGGGGATTAGGACCTGGCCATCTTAGGGGGGCCATTATTCTGGCTACCAAATGCACAAAACATTTTTGAGGCTGGACACAATGGCTCATGCCTGTAATCCCAGCACTCTGAGAGGCCAAGACAGGAGGATCACTTGGGACCAGTCTGATGACACAGGGAGATCCTGTCTCTACAAAAATTTACAAAATTAGCCGAGTGTGGTGGCACATGCCTGTAGTCCCAGCTACTCGAGAGGCTGATGTGGGAGGATCGCTCGAGCCCAGGAGGTCGAGGCTGCAGGGAGCTGTGATTGTGCCACCACACTCCAGCCTGGGCAAAGATCGAGATCCTGTCTCAAAACAATCAACAACAAACAATTTTTTGAAAAAATATAAGAAGAGTACTGTCAATATTTAAGGAGGATGGCTGAAGAGCAGAAAGGTTGGACATGTAAGAGGATCTACTAAATAGGAAATCAATGGAAAATGTCTAAATAGATGAATCAAAAATATGCACTTTACTCAGAAATATGAGATGAAAATTGCTGGAAGAAACAGCCAAGAGAATCGAAAGCGGTTGCCTCTGAGAAGAGGATAAGGGTAGGAGTAGGCAAGGAATCACTGCATTTTGTTAGGAGGTTTTAGTACTATTCGACTTCTTAAATTATATGCATGTACTACTGTGAGTAAATAAAAATGAATTTTTAAACAGAGAGAGTGGGGATGGGAGAAAGGGCTTACGTCCCAACTGCAGCCATCGGTTGCGTTTGGCCTCCATTTCCTTCTCTATAAATAAGAGTGTAGCTGAGGCCTTTCCACCTCTGTTGTTCTATGAAATCATCACGTCCCACAGAATAACCATCATCAGCTCCTCACACCCACACAGAGTTCCATCACCAGCTACAACACTGGTACCTCCCTCTCCACCCCCCACCCTCACGAAATGTTTAATCCTCCAAACACATCATTCCCGCTGCGTCCAGCCCATGGGCAGCGCAAGTCAGTGCTGCCTGCATCCGTAACCCCAACCCCCGCTCACTCAGCCCCTTCTCAGACCAAAGAGCTACATCTCCACCATCTCCTGAAGCCTCAGGACTGCTCCCCTGCACCACACTGTCCCCACTGCCGCCCCCACTTCCTCACCAACCCCAGCCTCATCAGCACCCCCGAGATGACCACCCAAGCCTCCTCTCCATCTTCAGATTGAGGACTGCTGGCCCCCCTGCCACCCCACAGTCTCTCCTCAACAAGGGCTTGCACATAATTATCCTCTTCCAAAACCAAAACTGTCACGGCCCACAAACCTAAATCCTCACTCCACCAAACACGATCCCAATATTCTCACCCTAAGGGCCCCTTCTTCTCCGTCTCAAGTTCTCTGTCTGAATGGCTGAAAAATATCTGACCATTTCTGTAGCAGGTCCTTCTCCCTCCCTCTGCTTGCATTCTCCTTTTCCTCTAGTGGACTCTGGTTGTTCTGCTCTACCTAGATGCCTTCCCCTCCTTCCCGGTGGGAAACGCTTGTCAAAAGGTTTTCGTTGTGCCTGTGCTGACCTCAACCCTCACCCCAGGCAAGTGGTGAGCACGTGACCAGGCAGAGCCAATCAGAGGCCTCCCTGGAACCTTTTTATCGATGCGATGGAAGGATGCTAACATGGTCGATGTGAGTCAGGGGCTGCCAGCTGCTGTCTTCCCGCCATGTGGGTGAGCCTGCCTGAGAACGAAGAGCTCAGAGATGAAGACAGAGGGATAAAGCGTTGTAGTCACTGTCTGGGCCCCTGGTCTTGCTGTTCCTGGAGGCAGGGACGTCTCTGAACTTCCGGGGACTGTGAGCTTTCACTACTTTGGTATGAGTCTATGACTTGTGGTTGACACCCTCCTGACCTAAGGGCTAATCTCAGTCCCCTCCAGGGCTCCCTGGGAGGCCAACTGCGGGGTTTCCAACACTGGCCTTATTTCTTACCAGCTGTGTGGCCTGAGGCGAAACTGTGCCTCAGTTTTCTCAGCTGTCGAGTGGGAGAAAGAACTTTCCACCTCACAGCGCTGCTGTGAAAATTAAAATGGAATGCCCTAAAAATGCTTCCAAGAGCGCCTGGCACAGAGAAAGTACTCAATAAATCTTAACGATGATTACTCTCAGATTCAACCAGCCCGCAGATTTCTCTCCTTTCTTGAAATCCCTGGAGTTCCTCTAAGTGGCCTTCGCTCAGGCAGGAGCTTGTACTTAAGCTCCTCCGACATGCCAGGCCCCGTGAGCAGAGCTTTACAATGTCAACATCTCATTAATCCTCACACCTCACCCCAACCCTTTGAAGTGGGTACTATTTTTATCCCCATTTTCCAGATGAGAATAATGAGGTATGGAGAGATTAATAAAACTGCCCAAGGTCACACAGTGGGTAAGGGGTGGAGCCAGGCACAGTCCAGGTCCACCCCACTCAGAAGCTCACAGCTCTCCACTCCCTCTCTCACAATCAGCATGTGACTGCTGCAGATCTATATTAACTTTGGGCACGGACTGGCCAGAAAACAAAGTTTCCAGTCAGTCTCTCTCTCCTGGTCAGGCTTGTCTGCAGTGGGAGCGGGGAAGGAGGGCACTGGAGCATGCTAATCACAGTATTCAATGCCCTGCCCAATGCAGTGGTCATTCACTCATTCATTCATGCAGCTATTTCCTGAGCACCTACCATGTGCCAAGCACTGTGCTAAGGAACATGCACTATCCTCAATCCTCAAAACAATCCTATGAAGCAGGTCCTATTGTTATCCCCATTTTATAGAAGACATGGAGGCTTAAAGAGGTTTAATACCTCTCTAGGGTAGCACAGCTAGAAAGCCCCAGGGCAGGATTATAAATCCAGGTCCGTGTAACTCAGAACCCTTCGCAAATGTGGCAGTTCTTGGTCATGAATGAGCATGCTAAACACACATCTCAGAGCCAGCGCCATGATCGATGTTTGTGCCTCTGGGGTGACCCTGGCCCACAGATAACAGTCCCATGGCTAAATTTCCTATTTGAGCTTAGGAGGAGGTGCAAATGTGGGTGACAGAAGGCAGCAGAGTATCTTGTGCCCCACCCCCACCCCCTGCCCAATCATCTGCTAGGGTAGGGGTCAGCTAGGGGCCAGGAGAAAGTGGAGGAGACCTCCTAGACGGAGATGTCTATCTGTCAACTCTTCCCCCTCCTGTCACAACCTCTCTTGGTCATAAGACTGGGGATGGATAAGGAGGAGGGAGAGGGAGGGGGGTCTTGGTGCCATTTTCCAGTGAGATGGCCATCACCATTCCATTGCCCTGACTTTCAGAAACATTACTTGCACCCAAACTACCAGCTGTCCATAGAATACCAAAAGCCACTGGTGACAGGCCAGCAGTCCTGCCCTCTGCAAAGCTGATTTATCTGGCTCTAGAGTCACAATAAGACGGCTTGTGGCTCTCACACCACTCTCGAGGCCATGGCACCACCAGCACTGGCACCACCAGCACTGGCACCACCAGCAGGAGCACTTATGATCACACCAAACCTGCTGCCACTACGGCGGCCACATGGGAGTCTGAGTCAGACTGCTTTGCTCACACTAATGGTTGCCATGACACAGCCCCAAAAGTGAGCGGGGGGGGGATTTATACCTAAAATAGATGCTGTTAAGGAGCTGAAGTTGTTCTCAGGAGCCAAAATGAGCCAACACAGACTTCCGTAAGGCAGCACCGATTTCCAAGTGCTGCAAGCCAGGAGAAGCCCTGTCTAGGGGTCACACGTGCTGTGGGTCAGATGGGCTTCCCACGGCCTGGGAGTCAGGGGCACAGGGTGGCACAGAGTCCATGTGAGAATCAGACACATGGTCCTGGATGGGGTCTGGCAGTGACCAGCATGGGTCTGATTTTATCATCCACAGCGGAAGCGGCCCACGGTCATCTGCATGTTTCTCTACTTTTCCAACCTTCTCTACAGCATGGTCCACAGCTGCCAGCTCCAGAGCCTCTATCACTTAGTCCCCTGCGCGTGGCCCTGTTTCCCCACCCCACAACTCTAAAACCTTCTGGGGATGCTGACCTCGTCCTCGGGGGAGAGTGCTCCCACCAGGGACATATTATAATGCTTTCCCTGGGAGAGAAGACACACACACCCACTTGGCTTTCTCGAACTCCTTACGCCACTGAACTGACAGTGGAAAAAAGGAGTTATGCCACTGTCTGGAGTGATTGATCCTAGTTACCAAGGAGAAAACTGGATTGCTGATCAGCCACAGAGCCAAGCAAGACTGTGTCTGGAACCCAGCGAATTCTCTCAGGCACCTCTTAAGAACGTCCATGCCCAAAGGAAGGCTGAATGGAAAGTTATGGTAACAACAACAAAAGCGGGATAACTAAGGATTCAGGTCCTTTGGGAATGAGGGTTTGGGTTACTCCACCAAGTAAAAGAAGCATGACCTGCTAAGGCTCTGGCTGAGTGTGGAGGAAACACAGAATGGGATAAGAAGACAATGAAGCCAGGTAGCAAGTGTAAAGTGTAGCCTTGTGAACAAATGCAGAAACCAGGCCTCTAGTGGTTTTGCACATTTTCTATTAACTTGATATATATGTGTGTGTGTGTGTGTGTGTGTGTGTGTGTGTGTGTGTGTGTGGTGTGTTTGCAATATGGTAACCATTTTCTTCTTTTTTTCTCCTTCCCATTCTTTTCTATACAAGTTGTTGACAGTTAGCTTTATAATGTAGTCTTTAGGTAACAGAATATTCAGTGAGACTGTGACTGACTTTGAGAAGTTATTGTAGCCAGGGATTGGTAGAATGATGGTTGGGGCTCTCTGGGCAAAAGGGTGAGAATTTCATAAGAAGGATAACTATCTTGATAGGTAGACATCCAGTTGTTTGTTTTTGTATGGGAGTTCAGATGTTGTAGAAAGGTGCAAATGGAAGCTGTGCAGCCAAAGGGGTAAACTGTGCCAGTTATCAGTTTATTCGCCCATCATTGCCTGTGCTGTGAAGATGGAGCTGGGCCCTTTAACTACTTTTCCTTTGTCAGCTGGCACAACTGTGGAGGGCACTGAAGAGGCATTGAAGGAGGAGGTGGGTTTCCTTTCTAGACCCAGTGTGCTCTTGTTGGGTTCCTGCATTGTATACAACTTCTCTAGCAGCCAGATCTTGCTGCATGGGCGCTTCCCAGCATCAGGGTCTTGCCAGATATGAAGCTTCCCAGCACCCAGCTCCTGTGCTGCTGCAGCTTCTCCAGCATGCAGCTTTCCAGTGCCCAGCTCCTGCAGGAGTGCCAGGCTGTTGCAATGCAGACAGCTTCTCCAGCACCTGGCTCCAGCAACACGTCAGTCAGGAGTACCCAACAGCCAGGAGCTTCTCCCAGCACTCCCCTGGGAAAACGTAGCAGCGGTGTGCTTCCAGCAAGATACCTCCCACAAACAACTTTCCTTGGGACCCAAAAAGATGGATTTCCAGTAAATTCCAGAGGGTGGATTTCCAGCAAGTTCTGCCAACATGGCATTACAGAGACGTTGCCATCCAGGGAGCCATCGCCACACCCTCTCCATCAAGGTGTGGATCTCAACCCTGCGGGGCCTCTTCCTTGGGCACTCTGTGGCAACCCTAGAGGTAGGGGCTGTTCTCATATCTATTATTTTTGTATTCTTTGGAGTTATTTTTACTTCTTACTAGCCAATTCCTCATTATTCCAATCCAATTAGAGTTAATAATTCGTTATGTGAAACTTTCCTTGTTCCAATCACCATGTGGTTTCTGTCTTCTGAATGGACCCTGACTGATACAGTCACCCGCGGCCCCAAAGGGCTTTTTTCCATCCTCATGGCCCTTGAGCTCAATTCAACATCCTGGCCAGCTAATCACTCCCTGCTTCAAGCACTCACTCAACAGCCATTTCTTGAGTGCCATTGTGGAGCCGGGCCCTGGAGTGAAAGGAGACCCCTGCTTCTGGAGCTCACCAGCAACTGCCTTCTGTGTGTTCTCTCCCAGCCATGACTCCATCTGGCTCCTTGCTTCTGGGTCTCCAGCCTCAGATTCTGCAGCTTTGTCTCTGGGGCTGTCCGGGAGTCTTGATCCCACTTCTGCACGGTGGGTGCTCCTCAAAGGTCATGTTCTACCTTCAGCTTCTCTCTAAATGCTCTTCCTCTAAGACACCTGGGCATAAGTTAACATACGCCTCCTACTGCCAGGGGCTCCAGCTCTATTTATTTTCATCCCAACTGGATGACTTGCAGTCCCTAAAATCCTACTCTTCCAGAACATGCTTCTTTCAGAGCCGGCTCTATTTTCTGGTTTTTCCCTCTATGTGGAAGTAACATTCCCCTCCCTTCAGCTGCCTAAGTCCCAAACCCTGGAGAAAACTCAGGTCCCACCTTTCCCCTGGGTCCTCACATCCAGCAGGTACCTGGTCCTTGGGCTTCTCTCGTCCCCCTATTCCCTCCAGGCCCTTTGTACCTCTTGTGTCTGTGGCACAATAACCTGGTAGATGCCCTGGAGCGGGTCCACCTGCCTCTGGCATCTCTACCTCCCACCCCACCCTATCAGCAAGGATTGCCCACACATGGCTCCCTCTATGAAAACCTATGACACCTCATGACAATTTTAAAAAGTTGATTGTGAATGTACTAAAACCATCGAACTGTACACTTATATGGGTGAACTGTATGGAATGTGAATTATATCTTAAAGCTATTATTTTTAAAAATCCGGTGATGCCAAAGATTTGCACACGTGGTAAAATATACGCTCTGGCCTGGTCTCACCAGGGCTGGCTACAACGCAGCCTCCGCCCACTGCTCTGGCCGTGCCCCCACCTCTCCCAGCTGCATCATTCCAGGCCCGGCTGCTGTCCCGGAATGACACCCCTGGCTCCCACCCTCTCCCACAGGGCCCACTCAGCTCCTCTCTCCCAGTCCTTCAACCCAACATCTCTCCTCCCCCAAAACACCGTCCCCTTCTCCTCGACCACCCACCCAGGGGTCATTGAGTGTTCCATGCGTATATAGATGTGTCTGATTTCTCAAAGAGACGAGGTCAGAGTTCATGCGTTGTATCTTGCTGCCCGTCCCCCCCGCCCACAGCTTGTCCCCCGCAACCCCGTTCCGGGTGACCCTGGAGGCAGAGAGGACTGTGTGAAGTCACTCCCAGGCAGCTGCAACATCCCCAGCACAGTGCTGCGGTGCCTAGAGCGACCCCCCACAATCCCCATTCTAGGGGTCGCTTGGCAGAGCCCCCAAGGCACTGCGTCAGTGGAAAGGCTGTTTGCAGGAGCTCCGAGGGCAGAACATACACCTGCTGTGGGTCTGCAGGCTCACCTGCCCCAGATCCCCAAGGTGAAGGGGTTGGTGAGGGCCTAGGCTATCAGTGAACCACAGGAATCAGGGGGGCTGAGTCCTTGTCTGGCCTGTGACCACCCTCTCCCCACACCGTCCATGGCCACAGTCCCCCAACCCCACTTCCTAAACCAGCTCCCTCTTGGGTCAAAACCAGGAGGTCCCCCAAAGGGTCTTCAGGGCTTGGGAGCGGCTGTTGGAGCTCGTCCCCCACCACCCCAACCAATTCAGCAGGAAGGGAGCTCGCTGCTCTCAGATTTCCCACAGGGCCGCCTTTCTCCTCATCGTCTGTCCCAACAAAAACAAACCATTTGTGGAGGGGGCCGAGGGAGGGAGAAGAGCCCAGGGTTCTGAGCAGCACATCTCAGAACCATGGGCCCTGCCTCCAGCAGTCCCTGCCTCAAACCCTGGCTCTGTCACTGAGAGATTCGGGCCTCAGTTTCCCAAGTTGTAAAGCGGGGTGAGAAAGAGTCCCTATTTCATAAGTCTATTTTAAGATAGGAGGGAATCTGAGTCAAGTGTTTAACATAGGGCCTGGCACGTGGCAGGTACTCAATAAATGATCATTTAAAAATTATTATGTGCTTGATCAGAAAGAAAGGCAAGCCATATGTTCTTAGGAAACCTAGACTCTGGCTTCAGACCACACTTCAGAGTGGCTTGTGCTCACTCCTAGGAACGGCTGCTGTGCCAGGCTCCCCCTCCCAGCTGATGCCCCTAAGTCTCCAGCCCAGGCCCCGTGCCACTAGAATGGGGAATGTATTTACCAGAGAATGTCTACCTGCCACTGTGGCCTCAGGAGTCTCTCACAGTCATGCAGACCCCACACACACACACACACACACACACACACACACACACACAGACACACAGATACAAACACACATAGATGCACACACAGAGATATACCTAGACAAATGCAGAGATGACCCAGGCGCACAGGTTCACACACGCACACAGCCCCCCTCATGCTGCACACGCTGGGGCACCTGGAGCCAGAGGATGCTGGGCGGGCCTTCCGACACAGGCACACGCGTTGCACATTTCACCTACTGTATGGGCCAAAGAGGCATTTGGAAACCAGCTTGGGAACCTCATAACCATTCATAACATTGTTCTGAGAGAAAACACAAAACATTGCCCTATAAACAAACATTTGCAATAGAATTCCTCCAAAAGCTTGGAAATGCCTGTACTAGAAAACTAACAGAGCAAGAAGAGAAAAACCACATAAACTTGGTTTGCCTCTGCAAAATTAATACCAATTACAAAAACATTTATGTGAACTGCTTACCATTTACACCTAATTACCATGCAGCACAATTATGCATATCATTAAGGGTATGCCAGATTAATTATGCTGTACATTTCATTTGATTACAACGCCACACCCTGAGTTCATGTATGCCCCACTTCCAGGGGGCCAGTCCTGCAGCATGGCTGCTTGCACAGGTCTGCACAAACCAGAGAAACGTGGATTTCCACACTCGGATGGACCGCAGCCCCCACCCCACCCCCAGCCAGAGACAGCCCGACTCCCACCCGGCCTTCTTGGCAGCATCAACAAGAGCCCCGCTGCGAAGCCATCTTCCCAGCAGATCCTCCAGAATGCAGAGATGCTTCAAAGGTCTCCCCAGGGGTGTGGCTGCATGTCACAAGGCCACCATACAGCCCAAGGGCCATCATGTACGGCCCTCACAGAGGAAGCGGCCCTCTCTGCCATCTCCTGAGGTCTGGCTCGGAAAGCAGGGCAGCCTAGCCCATGTCCAGGCCAAGTCCTTCCCAAGCTCATCTCCCAGACCCACCAGGGCTCTGTGCCCCTATCCCCTGGCACACTGAGCCAGCTACAGGGCAAGGTCCCAGCTGTGGTCCCACTGGGTCCTGCAACATCCCCCCTGTCCCCCATGCCCTCTGCTCTCCCGGACAGCTCTGCACAGACCCTCCCTCCCCTTATTAAAAAGAAAACAGGAACTGACCCCCAATAACTCCCATTTAGCTCAGTAGATGCTCTTCAAATACACTGGGTGAACCAGGTTTGCAGGGAATAATTGGGAACAAGAGAGTCAATAGAACATGACGAATGGACCTTCCCAGGAAGGGGGAACTCAAAACTTGGAGTTTTGGAGGGAACAGGAGGAAACAGGCTTCTTGGGAGGCAAAGAACCAGAGGAAGTGCAGAAGCGAGGGAGGGAAGGAAAAAATATCCAGGTTTAGTCCAAGAAGCAATGCTCAAAACAAACAACACCAGCCTGTGAAGTTATGTCCATTTTACAGATGGTAAAACTGAGCCTAAGAAAGGTTGAGTGATCTTCCAATGACACGCAGCAAGGAGGTGGCAGGGGTGAGGTGAAACCATCATCTGTCCAGTCCCCAGCCTGGTGGCCCCAGCACGATGCCACACTGCTCCTGGCCTCTATCTAAATTCAATGATGCTGACATGGCTCACGTCATTTTTTGAGAAATTCTTTGGAAATAGCCTTCCACATTATCCTTCACATAACACACATAAGCCTCCTTTCTATTTTAGAGGAACAGTTTTTGCTTCTTTTCTGTTTGCTTTCCAAAAATGCTGTCCCCAGCTTGTCCCTCCTATCTCTCTCCGCAGACCTGCCTCTGAATGGAGAGTGACGGAAAGGCTGGACAGCTTGACATCAACTTCCAGCCCACCCAAAGATTCTCAGACGGTGATGATGCTCGCCGCAGGTCCTGGGTGGAGGGCCAGGGTCTAGGCCTTGCAGCTCATCTTTTGGGGAAATCACTGTGAAGTAGAGGCGCTAACTCATCAGCATTCCCAATGCAAGGGTGCGAGCACCTTCCTCAAAATCTTCCTTCAAACATCTGCAGGGGTCGTACCAGTTACAGACTGAAATGCACCTGCCTTTCTCATCCATCGCACAAGGCACCCCGCCTCCAGGCCTTATGACTCAGGCTCCAGCCTCCTTCTGCAAGCCTGGCCTGGCTCAGCCTCCCCCTGGGGAAATCCCACCCGCCCTCAAGCCCCAGCTACAACCCAGCTCCATGTGGGAGGCACCTCCTGCTCTCTCCGACTCCCCCCAACCCATGCCCCCTCCATGAAGGGCATCCCCACCCACACAGTTGGCTGAGCTAGAAACCAGACAGCCACCCCAACTCCCCTCATTGCTTTTATCCCGCCTGTTCCTACTGACTGCACTTCCTAAATGTCACACCACGCACACCCTGTCCAGGCCCACATTGCTGCCCCGGACTTCTGTGCCAGCCTTCCACCCGGGCTCCCTGCCCCTAAACCCTATTGCCCGAGCTCTCGTCCTCGATGCCCTAGAATGATCCTTCTCAAATATAAATCCCAAGCCCAACGTCCGTTCATAACATCCCGCCTTCCATGTCCCCCGGCCCAGGCCCCTGGCTTCGTATCCCATCGTTCCCTACACTGCAGCCACATGGGGCCAGAAAGTGCCGTCGTCCACCTAGCTAACTGCTCCCTCCGCTTCGAGACTCAGCTCAAGCGTCACCTCCTTTAGAAAGCCCTTCCAGATCTTCTCTCCCCCTGAATCCGACTTCCTTCTCTGAGCCCTGGTAATCCCTGGACATGGTGTGCCAGGGGTCCTTCCGCCCTGCCAGACCCCACCTAAGCTGCAGGGTCATTGAGATGAGTGTGACCCCCTTCATCTATGCAGCCTGTGTCTGGCACACAGTAGGTCTCTTAGATGAATGGATGAACATCATTTGTGGATCTGAGGCAGGGACCTCTGGAAAGAAAACTCAAGTGCTGCCAGGCCTGCCAACTCGGGGGCCAGCATCTCGCCATGCCGTGCCCTGGCTCCCTCTGATTCCAGGCTGCTGGCAGGGTGTTGACAGAAGAAAACGCAGAGGTGACTGACTGCCCAGCCCCACTGGGCTTCCCAGCTGAGCTTCCAGTACCAGGCAGGGCCCTCAGGCCACCACCAGTTGGGCTGGGAACCACCAGCCTGTGCGTGGATGGCAACAAGCACCACATTGTTGCTGGTAATAAAACCATTAGGAGCCCTTGCTGCGTGCCAGCTGCCAGGCCGGGCTGTGGTCTAGACCCTCCCCTGCCTCCAGGCCGTGGGGCAGAGCCAGAACCCAGCAAAGGCCACTCTCCGCTTAGCTCCAAAGAGACCAGTGGGCAGGGAGGGAAAGAGGGCCCAGGCCTTGAGCAGGCTACTGGGTCCCCACATGGACAGGGGACTCTGAAGAGATCAAAAAAGGTACAGGCAAATCCTGGCTTCACAGGAAGAAGTGGAGGTGCAGAAAGGCTAAGAGAAAAAGGGACAACTTATTGGCAGCTGGAAAAAGGGACCTGGGTCAGATAACGGAAGCTAAGGAGGACAGAGACATCTTTCTCTATCCCTGCCACTCCCCTGTGGCCCCTGACTCCCAGCCCAGAGTCCACCATGGGCTTGGGGGTCATTCTCAACTTGATTATCTCTTCCCCTCACCGTGAGGGGCCATGGGGAGGACAGGCCACACTTGCAGGTCTTTTTTTTTTTTTTCTTTTGAGACGAAGTCTCACTCTGTCGCCCAGGCTGGAGTGCAGTGGCGCGATCTCGGCTCACTGCAACCTCCACCTCCCGGGTTCAAGTGATTCTCCTGCCTCAGCCTCCGGAGTAGCTGGGATTACAGGCGTGCACCATCACACCCAGCTAAATTTTTGTATTTTTAGTAGAGAGGTGGTTTCACCATGTTGGCCAGGCTGGTCTCGAACTCCTCACCTCAGATGATCCACCCGCCTCGGCCTCCCAAAGCGCTGGGATTACAGGCGTGAGCCACTGCACCTGGCCACTTGCAGGGTCTTACAGAGCAGCAGGGCCTTACAGAGCAGCAGGGCTTTGTGGGGGTCACCCTAACCAGGCAGCCCTGGAACAACCCCCACGTAAAGAAAAGCAGCTCATGCCTCCTGAGCACCTTCTCTGTGCCAGGCATAGTGCTAGCTGTTTCACAAAATATTGCACGTCATTCAGGCAACCCCTGTAAGATGAGACTGCTATTCTTATCCCCGATTTACAGATGAAAAACCTGCAGCTCCAGGTGGTTTGGGGCCAGCAGCAACTGAGCACAAATGGGGCTGAGACAGTCCTCCAGGTCGGCCTGACTCCCGAACGCCTTTTTTGCCCTGCACATCTGTCCCCTACCAGCCTTGGATTAAACAGCTGGTTTGTAGAGGGGCCAGTTCTGTGCTTGCCTCCAAGTCATAGGTCCTTTTATGTCTGTTCCTGCCTTATTCCAGGGGCAGGGTCAAAAAAGTGCACAGACCCTTCCCATGTCCTATTGAACAGGGGCAGCCTCGGGGGAAGGGAAGCCCCAAGAGGCACCCATGGGTGGGGTGCGGGAGGGTAAGGTGGAAGAGGGTGGTAAGTGCTGTTGCTAAGCAACCAGCCCTGAGCTTCCTGGGGTAGCAAGACGACTGCAGACAGAGGAACTTGTATTTGCCCCCACCTCACCTCTCCACCCCATCATCTGGGTGATCACCACCTGCTCAGGGACCCCTAGATCAGAGTTGAACCCACGTGCCAAGCAAGTTCCTAGACACCCCTTCTACCCCTTCGTGGGGCCTCCTGAAGCCCCACTTTGTCTCCCTTGGGTGTGGCCTCCCAAGAGGCTCTCACTATGCCAGGGCTGGGTCACCTGAGCTCCATACCCGGGCCGGGCCCCAGTTATACCTCCAGTTCCCCAGGAACCATTTGGGCCACAACAGCCCATCAGACTGATGCTTTTGGGGGAAGATCCTCAGTGATTTGTTCTCCACTTTGGGTCAGAAATGAGTTTCAAGTCGCCATCCTATAAAGCTAACTTTGTCCCCTGTCCCTGGCGTGGGCCAGGGTGCATGCAGTCAGCGGCCTATTTTCTGCTCTCACCTAATCCCTACCAGCCTAGGCCTTTGCTCAGAGGCCTTAATATCTGCGATATTTCTCCCTGCAACCTTTCCGGAAAAGACACGTACCTGAGTAAGCTTACCCCTTGCTGTCAGTCTCTAAACCAGTTTCTTATCCATTATAAAAAAGAGTCCATCCCTCAGCCTTAGGTGACTTAATTCTTTTTTCTACTTTCTCATCCACAGGCTTTTAAAAAGTGTAGTTTTATTTTTGTTGTTGTCATTAAGAAAGTAACTCAAGTTCATTTACATTTTTTCAAAGAAAACGAAAGTGTACAAAGTTAAAAAGCAAAAACTTGTTGACAGGTTTGTGTGTATCTTTCCAGAACAACTTTTCCATGCATGTGCAAACCTAAACATGTGTATATTTGTATCGATTTTAAAGAATTTCACAAAACTGAGATTACACTATGAACTTTTTTTTTTTAACCACAACACTACTGCATGGGGATCTAACACATCAGAACAGACTCGCCTACCACCTTGTTTCAAAGGCTTTTAGGGAATCTAAGTGGATTCCCCTTTACCCATGCATTTATTTATCACTTCGGGAACCTATACAAGTAATCGTGCAGGCCTTCCAGAAGCCTCTTTCCAAACAGGTTCTGCTCACTGGGGTGCTGGGGAATCCCACTGGCTTGGCAGGGGCAGGGGCGAACTCGCCTGTGTCTCCCGGGGTCCTCCAGGGAGTGGCGGGGGAGGGACACTCCGAAGGCCTCCTGCCCCCAGACCATGGCCGTTCCCAAGTATTCCCCAGGACACAGCCCACACTCAACAGCTTAGTGAGATGCAAATCTAACCCACACCCCATAATCTCTAAGCATCTTTTTACCTTTTCAAGGAAGGATCACTGGAACCCATGACCCAGCTGATCTATCAGATCTCGAACATCTGCACTGAGCCCCCCTCCCCTTTCATTATAGTAAGAAGAGCATTAGACTAGGAGTCAGGAGACCCAAGTTCCAGCTCTCCGGTTACTGGCTATAAGAGATGGTCCTCCGTCCCCTCTGTGCACTCAGACGGGGCAGCTAATAACTGGCTCAGAATTAAAAATGACCTTGACATTTGAAACAGAAGCAGAGAGGAAAGATCAATAGGGATGGTGGTGAGCAGGGCCGTGACCACAGGAAAGAGAAAATAGGAACCTGGTCATATATCTAAATAAGGCTGGGCAGCCTTTAAGGGTCAGAGAGGACCACAGTAGGACAGGAGTAGGCAACATAGAGCTGCTGCTGAAAAAAAAAAACAAACCACTCCATACTGGGATTTAGCTAGGAAAGCCCCAGGCGTCTGCACCTCCCTTACCCCCACCTCCACTGCCCACCAAGCACCCTTGCTGTCCTCCAGACAGGTTGGTGGCCTGTGATGTGATCAGCAAGGGAGATTTGGCCCAGAAGGCCCTGCCCACCAGCTGTTCTTGCAGGGGGCTGCCAGGCACCTGCACTCATGCCTGGGGGCCTGGGCCGTCTGCAGGGCACCTCCCCTCTGGGTTGGTGGCTCGGTTCTGCCCAGCGTGTGTGTTGGGGGACAGGGTCAGGCTGCAGAGACAGGAACCTGACGTCTTCACCCCCATTTCCCTGGCACTGGCAGCCCCTTGCAGGAATGTTCTGGATGCTGGGGCGCCTCAGCCTGATGGAGTGGGCAAGGGGGGACATGGAGACCTCTGGGAGGCCAGAAAAGGGACCCTTCTCCACCTGCCACATCCTCAACCATGACTGCTATCACTCGCTCGCAGACCAGACCTGACCCTGGCCTCCCCCTTAATCGTCACAACCCCCTGGGGTCAGTGTAATTTAAACCCTGTTCTGTTGCTCTCCAAGTCTGAGCTCTTAAGCTCTGGTCTATGGAATAGAAAGAATCAGGATCCGACACCAAATGAGCTCATTTGGCCCCTTCCCCTCCCTCCCTGCTGTCCTCTCTCCACCCCTACCCCCACTGGCCGCCACGCTGAGGCAGTTCAGAGCGATCCTCCGTGGGCCACAGAGGAGTTCCGGAGTGCAGGGATCTCCTCCCCAAACCAAGGCAGGGCCTCAGCCTGGCCTCCAGCACAACCCAGGCCCCAGTCCACCTCCCGGGCACTACAGCCACCCACAATGATGTCCTGCCCCTGAAGCCCCACTTCTGTGCTCTGGGGCGCTTCTGAGATGCCACCTCCTTCAAGAAGCCTTCCCTGATGACCTTAGTTGGTTGTGACCTCACTCTCCTTTGAGCACTTTATTTCTCCCTCTCCAGTGACCCCAGTCCCACTCTGCAGTTCTTCGTTAGCTGGGCGCATCCTAAACACACCGTGTCCCCTCAAAGCCAGCACAGGGCATGGCTTACAGGAAATGCTCAGCACATCTCTGGAAAATGGAAGCGAATACGGTGGGAAAGTGCTGCTGCACTCAAGACAGGATGAGAATAACGAGCTGAAACTACAGCGGGAGGGATTTCAGGTGGAAGCAAAACAACCTGTTGACACGAGATTTGTTCAACTCAACAGATTGCTAAGTGTCGCTGAGAAGCCTCCCACCTCCCAGGATTTTTAATCAGAATCGGCACTTTCCTCATCTGACCAAGATTCTGCAAAAGACACAGGAAGGTGGACGAGGCTTCTTAGAGCACTTCCTGCAGTGCTAGTCCACGTGAGCCACCCAAATGATGAAAACAGACACAGCTAACAGGAGGGCTCCCGCTCCTCTAAGGCTGTAACGCACATGATCTCACTCCATCCTCACAACCACCTGTAAGCAGAATCCACGCACACTCCCATGTTACAGGTGAGGAAACTGAGGCCCAGGGAATCGAGTTGTTGCCCAAGTTCCTGCCGCTGGGAGGTGTCAGAGTGCAGCTCCCTGTGACTCGAGGGCCTCAAGCTGCCTTGACACTGGCTCATGTGGAAGCAAGTCCTACCCATCCACAGGTGGCGGCACACCACGTACACACACATCATGCACAGACACATGTGCACTGAACCTCGTCTTGCCCACACACTTAGCCAAGTGGAGGCAGGCTCGGATACAGACATAAATCTCAGGCTGACACTTCATGGATCTCAGATTTGGTCATGTTCTTAGGGAAAAATCGTCAGAGAGAAATGATTGAAAATGAGCCCTCAAAATTAAAGTGGAAAGGGATCTGGCACCTTTAGTAGACCATTAAAGCCCTGCTCAGGAACAGCAAAGTCCCTGCAGAAACCCAGCCTCAGGCCAGGTGGGCTTCTGACGGGCTCTCTGCTCACATACTAATATTCAAACAAAAGTAGAAGCTATTCCCCGAGGGCCGCAGCATGGGGAATGGCATTGGGGTAGATGCTCTGGCCCTACCTGCTGGAGGCCAGAGACACACTCAACTCCCAGTGGGGCACGGGGTGGGGAGGATACGAGCACCAAGTCCAGGACCCCAGGCCAGCAAGTTGGAGGCAGCAGGAAGTACCCTGGGAGAGGCATGTGACTGGCACGTGAATGGCCCTCCAGGCCTCAGGCTCTGGGTAGCATGGACAACCCTGGGAAGAACTGGGCACCACCTCCCACAAACAGTCCCGTACCCAGCACTAAGAGCTCTCAGAGCTTAAACTCCTCTTTCAGACTGCAATTCTAAGGTTTGGGTTCTAATGCTGACATTTCGGGCCCAAAGATGGGGAGAGGGTGGTCTGTTTTAACTCACCCATTAGAGTCCTCTTTCTACCTGGATCCCAAAAAGAGAAGCCTTGGGGGAGTCTGGCTCTTGCTGGGAAAGAACTTGGGTCTTTCAGGGAGGTGTGACCCTGAGGAGCTGGCCTGTAAGTAGGCAGTGGCCGCTGGGCAGCGGCGCACAGCAGCAGGGGGAAGGGAGCCCAGCACTAACCTGCCTCGCTGCCTCGGGGAGAGGACTGGAGGGCAGTGCGCTCCCCTCGCTCAGCAGACACCCTCGGAGGCCTCACCGCTTGTCCAATGGGGACCCAGGGAGGCAAGGCCCCTGTTTCCTGGAGATCACAAACTGAGAGCGGGGACAGACACATGCAGCAGCCCAGGTAAGAGGTATAGCATGGGGCATCTTCCCCCGAGTGCAGGCCTGGCTCCACTTCTTCCTGCCGGTGACCCTGGACAAGGATTTTACCGTTTGTCCTGTCTTCCTAGCTTTTTGAGAACCACTGGCAGAGGTGGGTGTGAAAGCGATAGTAAAACATCCATAAGGGACTGAGGAGCTTACTGTGAATTGGACTTGAAAAGGAAACCTCAGAAATTATCCACACACAGGGATTTATACACAAACCTACAGGATACACACGTGCCGAGGCTTAAAGGAGGCTGTACTTTTTACACCCTCTGCAGAGTCGGACGTGACCAACCCGTCTCTTGCAGGGACCCTCCTCACACTGCCTCTCCTTCCCAAGGCCCAACTCGCTGGGCGCCCTGATCTCTCTCATATCTCCTTCTCCTTGGAAGCCTTCCCCTATTACTGCCATGTGCCGAAAAACAGACCACCCTGTCCCCATTGCTAGGCCTGAAATTCCACCACTAGAATCAGAGCCATAGAATGTCAAAGCTGGAATGGACCTTCCGGCTCTAGTCCAACCCCCACCCCACAGAGGAATCCTGTCCGCAGACACCCTGACAGATGGCTGCTGGCGTCCTTTCCTAGGCTTCTCCAGGAAGGACTCAGAGGGCAGCCCTGTGGACCAGTCCACTCCTTGAGTCTAGAAGGAATTCACCTTTCTTAGGGTCAGTCTCCTATGGAAGGCACTGGTGCCTGGGTGGGGTAACGAGGGAAGTTTGGTCGGCCTGAATCCGCAGCTGCTTATCTGGGGAGGAGCTGCACAGAGGAGGGGGACCCACCAGGGAGGCAGGCAGGTGCCAGAGCTGCTGCACAGGCCAGCCTGGTCCCTCGCCTGGAGCCAGCACATGTGCACACACAGACTCCCACCTTGACAGAGCCACCTGTCACAGCCCAAGCAGGGCCTCGGTAGAACCTGGAGGCAGAGGGGGACCATTTTGCCCCAGAAACCCAGCAGGAACTCCCTACAACCCAACTCTCCAAAGGCAGGCAGCTCAGAAAACTACCTGGAGATGGCCCCTGCTAGCCAACCAAAGAGGGTCCCCGGGATGCCTGGCCCCCCAAATCCCACAGGCCAGTCCTAACACCCAGGCAATAGCAAGGCGAATAGCTCCCCTGGCTGCAGCTGTCACATCTGCCCGCGAGGGAGGAGGCGACACTGGAGCAGCACCTGATCCCAGGATCCCTTCGTAGCCGCCCGCCCAGGAGGCGGGTTCAGCCGCTGGCAGCCTAGGGTGAAACATGAAGACTGAGCAGGCCCTCAGGGATGCTGATGGCAGTCTCTGGGCACGGCAGTGAGGGGCAAGTTGGGTCACAGGGCGGACAGCGCTTCTCCCCAAGGCTTCTGTCCCCGCTGGTTTGGAGGGGGGGTAGCTGCGCGGCCCTGGGGCTCGGCCCTGCCCACCCTCCCGCCTGCCGCAGGCCAGAGCTGCCCTGCTGGGTGCCAGACGCCATGTTGGGTCAAGGTGCAGCCGCAGGGGGCTCCCCTCAGGAGCCGGGGGAGGCAGCCCCTGGGAACCAGAGGGCACTGCTCCCCGCCCAGGGCGCCAACACCTCCTCAACTGGCCGTGCAGCGGAGAGAGGGTGCCAGGACGGAGGGGATGAGGAGAGGGGGAGAAATGGCAGAGGGGCGCTGGGGTGGGAGAGGGTGCCCCCAAGAAGGGAGGCTTCAGGAAAGCGAAAAGCAGTTTGGCAGCCCCAGGGCCGCGGGCCCCAGCGATGAGGGGCTGGGGGAGGCCAGGGGCGGGCCCTGGACCCGCGCCAGCCCGGTCCGCGCCGAAGGGGAGGGAAGGCAGGGCGGCCTGGGGGAGGGGAACTGGGGTGAGGGCGGGACACGGACAGCCGCCGCCTGCGGCTCCGAAGCTCGAGGTCTCCCGGGGTGCGGGGACGTGGGGCCGAAGACCCCGCTCCGCAGCCGCGGCGAGGCCTCGTCCTTCACTGTGCAGATGCGAAGCTTTCAAGGACACGTCTGCACCGGCCCGGCGGGGTGCGTGTGCGTGAGTGTGTCCGCGTGCGTGGGAGTGTGCGCGGGGGTGCTGGAGGGGCGACCCCGGGCGTACCCCCCCTGCGCCGCTCCCGGTCCCGGCCCCGCTACTTCCACCCCCGCGTTTTCCGGCCCCCGCGGCCCGGGCCCGGGCCCGGGATCCTCGCCCGCCCCCGCCCCGCCCCCACATTGCGGCGCCGCCACCGCGGCCGCCCGGGCACCCACGGCCCGCGGTGGGGACAGGGAGGAGCCGGGCACGACCACCCCTCTCCGTGCCGCCGGCACTCCGGGGGAAGGTGTGCCCCCAAGGCGGGCGCTCTCCCCGGCCCCGCCGCCCCTCCCGGCCCCGCCGGCGCCCCGCACCCCCAGCCACAGGTGGCCGGAGGAGGATCGCGGCGCGGCGCTCCCCGGCCCGGCCCCGCCATCACCCCTCGGCCCGCCCCCGGGGGCCTCCCGGGTCCCCCGCCCCGCGGGGCCGAGGAGGGCCGGGCGCCGGGGGGAGGGGCGGGGGGCCGGGTCGTGCCAGGCTGCCATTTTCTGCCGCCGCCGCGGAGCCTGCGCGGGGCCCGGCCCCCGCCCCCTCCCCCGCTCCCCCGGGCCGCCGCGGGGGCCGATCCTTCTGGGTCGGGGTCCGCGCCCTCCGGCGCCCTGGCCGCGGGCTCCAGGCGGGGCCGCGGGGCTGGGGCAGAGCCCGGAAGGCGGGGGCGGCCCGGCCGGGGCCCCTGCGGCAGCGGCGAGCCGGGCACCGCGGCGCAGGCCGGCGGTGGAGGGGCCCCCCGCGGCATTGTATAGACTTGAACTTGAGCCCGGAGCCGGGCGGGGGCGGGGAGGGGGGTCCGCGCCGGGAGCGGGCGGGACGGGAGGGGGCGCCTGCCGAGCCCGCGGGGACATAAACAAACCCTCAAATCCCCCGCGCCGCCCCGGCCAGCCCGGCCCGCCGTCCCCGCCTGCAGTCCCGGCCCCACGGGCGCCCGGCGCCGAGTTGCAGGGGTCCGGGAGCGTGCCCCGAGCCGGGCACTGCCAGCCGCGGCGCCCCCCGCCCGGCTCCCCGGCTCCCCGCCGCCTCCGGGCCGGCCTTCCGGGCCGCCAGCAGCGGCGCTCATTACCGTATGGCCGGTGGGGTCGGGCCGGCCCGGCTGCGCGCCCTGGTGCCGCGGCGCCGCGTCCCGGCTCGTCCTCTGCTCTCGCCGCCGCCGCCGCCCGCGCGCCCTCCCTCCCTCCCGGCCCGCCTGCCTGCCTCGCTCGCTCGCTCCCTCCCTCCGCTCGCTGTCGCGCTCCCTCTCTCCGCCTCCTCCGCCGGGTCCCCCCCTCCCACCCCTTCTCTCCGCCTTCCTCCTTCCCTCCCTCCGGCCGCCCGCGGGCCCAGGCCTCCGCCCGCCGCTCGCCCCCCGCGGCCGCGCTGGCCCCGGCCCCGGCGCTGCGGAGCCGGCCCGGGAGGCAGCGCCGACTGGGGGGCCCCGGGGCGCCGCGGCGGGAGCGGCCTGGGCGCGCGGCCGGTCCTAGCGCCCTCGGCGCGACTTCCCGGCCTCTGCGGCCCCGCCGGGGTCCCCGCACGCCGCTTGGCGGAGGTCTGGACCCCGCACCGCCCAGACCGGGGGCCGGGCCCCGGGCGCCCCGCCTCGGCCGCGCTCCCGGCCACTCAGAGCCCCTCGAGTCGTAGCCGAGCTCCGGGCCTCGCCGCAGCCCTCCCCACGCTGGGCGCCCCGCTACCTGGCGCTGCTTCTGCGCTGGGTCCCCGCATCCAGCACTGGCCGCAGGGACAGCGGCCCCTCCTCTCCCCGGGCCGGTGTCAAGTGCCTCCCCCCGCAGCCCGCGGAGCCCCCGGCGGCCTTCGCCCTGCAGTTCTCCCGACCTCCGCCAGAGCCCACTGCGCTCTGCCTGCCTCAGCACTGGGGCTGGGGACAGCAGCGCTGGCCCAACCGCGCCGCAACCCCCAGCCAGGTGCCGCCGCGGAGTAGAGGCCACTCTGCTCTACAGGGCCAAGGTCGGAGCGCCAGGCTCCTCCTGGCCGTCCCGCAGGCTCCAAAGCCTCTCTGAGATGAGCTGCCTTGAAGGGAGTGAGTTCCCCGTACCTTGAGGTGTCCAAGTAGAGTTGGGTGTCCTCAGTTGGGCACTGGAAGACTGAAAGATTTCATGAGGTGGGAGGTTGAATGAAATGACATTGAAGGTCTCTTCCAGCTGGAAGATTCTGTGTGTGCCTACACACCGCCCTCACCCCTTCACCGTGGGGGCTGTTCTCCTTCCCCATGGAGCGCTCAGGGCTCTAGGTTCCTGACTTGGGGCACCTCTGTCTAATTCCACCAGCACAGCCACTCACTATGTGCTCATCTCACTCCTCCAGCAGCCGCTGTAGGACTTGGGGCTGGGCACCCCCCCACCCCCGCCTCCAGCCTCCTTGCGCGCCCCAGCACCCCACCAGCCACCCGCAGCTCTGCACCCCGAATTCTACTCAGCACTTCAGCTATATCACAGTGCCCTGAGCTCCCTGACTGGCACAGGACATGGCGTGCTCCCTTCCCAGGGACCCGCCATCCTACTTGTGGGCAGGGATTGCTGGAGTTGGTGGTGGGACTCACTTCACAGTGAAGCGGATCCTACTTTTCCCTTCTCCCCATGCAGCCCAGCACCCGCCCCCCCAACGCCACCCTTTTAGCGTCACAGAACCGAGTTGCCAAGTTCTCTGGGACCGGGAGCTGACCTTTCATACAGACGGGAAGGTTTTCCTTCGGGAGGTTCTCCAATGCTTCCAGGTCCCTCCGTCTCCCCAACCCCCACCCTGAGCCTCGATATCTGAGACCAGCTTCTAGGCCATAGTTCTGGCCGTTTTCAGTGTCACCCTCACTCAAGTGGCCACCCCGCCCTACTGATGATAGGCCCTGCTGTCCATGGTCCCCACCGGCCCAGAGACTCCCAGTGCTCTGTGAGGACAGGGGCCGCGTCTGTCATCCCTGTAGCCCAGCACTTGGTGCTAGGAGATTCTCAGTAAACCTTGGTGGAATTAACATGTGACCCTCCTGGGCTGTTCGCTTTCTACATCAGGAGGGGCATCCGTGAACACTCTAAATGGCGCACCCAGCTTGGCAAAGGAGAAGACCGTTTATAGAAGGATGACTGAGATACCTCTGCCTTCATCAAGGGCTTACATATAACACGGCCCCAAACAGCAGCGACTGTTTACTGAGTGTCTACTATGTGCCAGGCACCAGACATGGTATTTTCTCTAGTCTTCACTAGCCCTGTGATATGGCTTGTACTCTCCTCACGCTACAGATGAAGAAACTGAGGCTCAGTCTTAGTCAAAGCCATACAGTTGGGAAGTGGCAGAGTCAGGATTCAAAGCCAGGTTCATCCGGCTCTGAAATCACCCCACATCACATCTTTTTTTTTTTTCTTTTATTGAGACACAGTCTCGCTCTGTTGCCCAGACTGGAGTGCAGTGGAGTGATCATGGCTCACTGTAGCCTCGACATTCTGGGCTCAACCAATCCTCCTGCCTCAGCCTTCTGAGTATCTGGGACTATAGATGCACACCACCATGCCTGGCTAATTTATTATTATTATTTGTAGAGATAGGGGCCTCTCTATGTTGATCAGGCTGGTCTTGAACTCCTGGGCTCAGGTGATGCTCCTATCTCAGGCTCCCAAGGTGTTGGGATGACAGGCATGAGCCATCGTGCCCAGCCCACACCACACTTTTGAAACATAGTTGCTCTTAAGAAGCTGAAATTCAGTGGGTGCAGTGGCTCACGCCTGTAACCCCAGCACTTTGGGAGGCCGAGGCGGGAGGATCACTTGAGGTCAGGAGTTCAAGACCAGCCTGGCTAACATGGTGAAACCCCGTCTCTACTTAAAATACAAAATTAGCTGGGTGTCATGGCGCATGCTTGTAAACCCAGTTACTCGGGAGGCTGAGGCAGGAGAATCGCTTGAACCTGGGTGGCGGAAGTTGCAGTGAGCTGATATCGTGCTACTGCACTCCAGCCTGGGTAACACAGCAAGACTTTGTCTCAAAAAAAAAAAAAAAAAAAAAAAGCTGAAATTCTCAGGGCCATGATGAGCAAATGTAAATTTCTATTCAATAGGGCTATTTATGATGACATTATTAGGAGCCACCAAAGTCACTTAGTATGGTAAAGTATGTAACCTTGGATGTATGGGTTGCTGGGGTCAAGAGGTCCAAGGTGACTGTGTTAGGGGGTTTATGTCTGTTAAGAAACAACCGTTTGGCTACAGGGTTGGTTCCAGACCCTGACCTTAATGTCTTTGGTCCCAAGAGGAGGCATATCTGTGCTAGCTAACCCTCATCACTGCACCTCATACTGGGTTAACTCAGGTTGGTTTAGCCTCTCGGCTTCTACACCCCTCACTTGTGTCTGCCGCACTGTGGCCTCATCAGAATCCTGGCTGATCCTAGATTATCTAGGGTATGTGGCAGTATCAGGACAGGCTAGGTTGTCCTGCAGTAACAAACAACTCCAAATCTCAGTGACTCAAAACCACAAAGTTTCTATGGAAAACAGTATGGTAGTACCTCAAAAAAAATTAAACATAGAATTACCATATAACCCAGCAGTTCCACTTCCGGTGTACAGTCAAAATAATTGAAAGCAGAAATTTTTTTGTTTGTTTTTTGTTGTGTTGTTTTCTTTTGTTTTGCTTTTGAGATGGAGTTTCCCTCTTATTGTCCAGGCTAGAGTGCAGTGGCGTGATCTCGGCTCACTGCAACCTGTGCCTCCTGGGTTCAAGTGATTCTCCTGTGTCAGCCTCCCAAATAGCTGGGATTACAGGTGCCCACCACCATGCCTGGCTAATTTTTTAATTTTTAGTAGAGACGGGGTTTCACCATGGTGGCCAGGCTGGTCTTGAACTCCTGACCTCAGGTGATCCACCTGCCTCAGCCTCCCAAAGTGCTGGGATTACAGGCGTGAGCCACCATGCCCGGCCAAAAGCAGAGATTGGAGTAGATATCTGTACACCAATGTTTATAGCAGCATTATTCACAATAGCCAAAAGTGGAGGCAACCTGATGTTATCAGCTGATGAATGAATAAGCAAAATGCAGTCTATCCACACAATAGAAGATGATCCAGCCTTAAAAAGGAGGGAGTCCTGACACCTGTTAACAACATGCATGAACCTTGAGGATACTATGCTAAATGAAATGAGGCAGACACAAATGCATAAATACTGTAGGATTCCACTCATATGAGGGTCCTGGAGTAGTCAGACTCATAGAGACAGAAGTGGAATGGTGGGTGCCAGGGGCTGCGGGGAGGGGGAATGGGGACTTGGTATTTAACGGGGATAGAGTTTCAGTTTGGGAAGATGAAAAAGTTCTGGAGATGGATGGCGGTGGTGGTTGTACTTATGACACTGAACTATACACTTAAAAATGATTAGGCCGGGCGCAGTGGCTCACTCCTGTAATCCTAACACTTTGGGAGGCCAAGGCAGATGGATCACGAGGTCAGGAGATCGAGACCATCCTGGCTAACACGGTGAAACCCCGTCTCTACTAAAAATACAAAAAAAAAGCCGGGCGTGGTGGCGGGCGCCTGTAGTCCCAGCTACTTGGGAGGCTGAGGCAGGAGAATCGCCTGAACCTGGGAGGCAGAGGTTGCAGTGAGCCGAGATCATGCCACTGCACTCCAGCCTGGGCGACAGAGCGAGACTCTGTCTCAAAAAAAAAGATTAAAAGGTCCGGGTGTGATGGCTCACACCTTTAATTCCAGCACTTTGGGAGGCTGAGTCAGGTGGATCACCTGAGGTCAGGAGTTCAAGACCAGCCTGGCCAACCTGGTGAAACCCCGTCTCTACTAAAAATACAAAAATTAGCCAGGTGTGGTGGAAGGCCCCTGTAATCCTAGCTACTCAGGAGGCTGAGGCAGGAAAATCGCTTGAACCCAGGAGGCGAACATTTTAGTGAGCCGAGATCATGCCACTGCACGGCAGCCTGGGCAACAAGAGTGAAACTCCATTTCAAAAAAAAAAAAAAAAGGCCGGGCGCGGTGGCTCACACCTGTAATCCCAGCACTTTGGGAGGCCAAGGCAGGTGGATCACAAGGTCAAGAGATGGAGACCATCCTGGCCAACATGGTGAAACCCCATCTCTACTAAAAATACAAAAATTAGCTGGGCATGGAGGCAGGCGCCTGTAGTCCCAGCTACTGGGGAGGCTGAAGCAGGAGAATCACTTGAACCCAGGAGGTGGAGCTTGCAGTGAGCCGAGATTGCACCACTGCACTCCAGCCTGGGCAACAGAGTGAGACTCCGTCTCAAAAAAAAAAAGGTTAAAATGATAAATTTCATGTTATGTCTATTTTACCACAATAAAAAAAATAGAGCATAGTCCAACTGTACATTACATTTCTTCAGTAGATTACCAACGAACCGCGAAAGTTCCTTCTCTTGCCCGTGTCACATGTCTATCGCAGGTTTGCAGAGGGGTAGAGGTAGGGGGCTCTGCTCATTGAATACTCAGGGACCCTGGTCGACAGAAAAGCCACTATCTCAAGGAGAGTACCAGAGGGTGTCCCATTGACAAAAGGCACTTGTCACTATAGGCAGTCACACAGCTCCATTCACTTACAAGGACCAGGAAGTAAATGCTACCATGGGCCTCAAAGTGGGGAGAACTAGATAGAGTTAGCACCAGTGACTACCACAGGGGCCCTCCCAGCCCCCTCACAGGTCACATGCTCCTCTAACATCCTCTACCCAGGGTCTCCAGCGGAAGGCTTAGCTCCTACACTCCTGACTCAAAAGAGAAAAGTGGCAGTAGGTCTACCCTTGCCCCCAACATCCTGACAGAGACGTGTCTTCTCCATCCATGCTCTTCTCAAACCATCCCATCTGCCTTTGGCACAGTGGGTGACCTTCCATCCTCCCTCCTGACTTCCAGACCTGGCTCACCTACCAGCTGCTCAGCGACTTCCACCCCCACAGTGACTCACCACTGCAGTCATCTTAATATCCCCTCCATGTGACACCTACGAGGAGAACTATGTCCTGGACCTCATCACCGTAGGTTCTTCATCTGTAACACATGGGGATCCTTCTACCCGCCTTCCAGGTAGGGCTGTCACATTAGTCAAGATTCTCTCTGTTACAGTAACAGAATGCCAGCCTGAATTAGTCTGAACAGAGGGATTCTGTTGTTTAGAATTGAGACAATTGTGAAGCCCAGAGTTGGGGATTTAGGACTAGGAAAACCTAGTTCAAATGCCAGCTCCAGAGTGCACTCTCTCCCTGCTCTCTCTCTTTCTTCCCCTGTTTCCATCGCTCACGACTGCTTCCCACTATTTTGGCATCTTTCCCTCCTACTTTAAACAAACTCCACACAGCCTTGGAAGATGGTGACCAGCAGCCTCAGGCTCACATGCTTCCAGCTTAGAATCCCAGTGGAAGAATATCATTTTCTTTTCCTTCAAGAAAGGAAGGAGGACTTCAGGAAATCCCCTAATGCCTCCACAACATAAAGCTCTGGGTCTTTTAACAACCCCTCACTCCCAACCCTGATCCTCAGACACACAATTGCCCTGGTTTTTGTTTCTGTTTTTGTTTTTCTTCAATGTCACCCTCTCTCAAGGGGCCATCCCTAGCAGAAAAGTTCCAGGGACTACTTCAGTTGTTCTGGCGTTGGTCACAAGTCCAACCTGAACCAGGTTCTGTGGCCAGTGGGATAGCACAGATTACATGCCCACTCCTGTAAGTGGGTTCAAGAGGTGGCACTGGGATGAACAGATCCTGCCAGCACCCTGTGAAGCAGGGCAAAGCTGTTCACCAAAGCAAGGGTGCTGGGCAAACACACCACACGCCACCCAATGGCCACGCAGCATCCTTGCGTACCTTTCCCCACCATGGATGCCCTTTCTTTTTCTCTTTTTCTTTTTTCTTTTTTTTTTTTTTGAGACGGAGTCTCACTCTGTCGCCAGGCCAGAGTGCAGTGGCATGATCTCGGCTCACTGCAACCTCCGCCTCCCAAGTTCAGGCGATTCTCCTGCCTCAGCCTCCTGAGTAGCTGGGATTACAGGCGCCCGCAGCCACAACCAGCTAATTTTTGTATTTTTAGTAGAGACGGGGTTTCACCATGTTGGCCAGGCTGTTCTCGATCTTTTGACCTTGTGATCTGCCCGCCTCGGCTTCCCAAAGTGCTGGGATTACAGGCGTGAGCCCCGGCACCCTGCCCATGGGTGAACTTTCAAAAGTGCTCCTGCACTTGACAGAGCTGGTGACTGACTGCACAGCACTGTGAATGCACTAAATGCCGTGGAATTGTACAATTTAAAGTGGTTAATTTAATATTATATGAATTTCATCTCAATAGAAAATATATTGTTAAAAATGCTCCTGCTCATGTAAAGAACCCACCCCATCCACAACTAAAAATGCATTTACTCTCTTTTTGCGAAAAAGATAATCCAAGTCGTGGCCAGCTCTAAGACCAAGATCTCTGAGTAATGTGCATGCCTCTCCATGGGGTCTCAGTGTGGCTTCTTCTTATCCTGTACCCTGTGGTTAAATTGTAAACTCAACCACCCCAAAGCACCATACATACAGTGGTGGAGAGAAAATAGATGATCCACAATGAAGACTGGCTTTAGAAGAAGCTAGAAGGGAAAGATATGCAGGGGCTACCCGTCCGTGGCCTACATGACACCCAGCCAGGGCTCACATCTTGGCAGTGGAGCCAGGTCCTGGCCTGACTCCCTGGGAGAATTTCCCTGGTTCATTGTGGTCCGTGGCTGCTCCTGAGGGCTGAGGGGAAGAAGTCGTTTTTGAGGAGGACAAGCTTCCTCTTGGCCTGATCATGTTTTCCTGGGGATTCCTTCAGAGGTTGGGCAATCCCTAGGTTTGGGGAATGCAATGTCACTTCCTTACAACCTCAGGCAGCTGCCAGCCAGCTCACTTCCTGGGAATGCTGTGGACAAGCAGCCAGCCCCCCAAAGACCCAAAGCTGCTGAGTAGATCATTGCGCATGCGCCCCGTAGACATTGCGAACATCAAATCAAGTGGATACTAAAGTGCTTTGTAAACCCATAAAATGCCGTTATCCTCATTCACTGAGAAAATCCTAGATACGAGTTCACTCTGTATGGTTTTATATGTGCCCGTTCACCGTATTTTATTCAACTATGTTTACTCTCTTATCGGATTTCTCACAGCAACTTCTACTAATGTCCCCCAACTTCTAGATGCTAACTTAACCCCTTCCCCCAGGAGACACCTCAGAAATATATACATTCACTTGTTCTGTCACCTGAGAGCACCTAGACACAATAAAACCTCAATAGCCATAAATAAAACTAGTGTCCAGAACTTGGTTTCTAAATACCAGTCTTTACTGGAAGGCACTGGACCTGCCTGGAGAAATAGCAGATTCCAGAATTGGGTCGAGCAAGGGACAAGCAGACTTGTCCCTTGTCCCAAAAGGGGCTGCCACTGGTGGAATATGGGACAATTTGAGCACCAAAATAAATAATGATATTCAGATAGTTTGGCTATTTTTCCCCTCCCAATCTCATGTTGAGATCTGATCCCCAGTGTTGGAGGCAGGGCCTAGTGGGAGGTGCTTGGGTCATGGGGACAGATCCCTCATGAACAGCTTGATGCCCCCCTCAAGGTAATGAGTGAGTTCCTACTCTGTTACTTCGCTTGAGAGCTGATTATTAAAGAGAGCCTGGCACTTCCTCGTCTCTGTCTTCCTTCCTGTCTCATCATGTGACATGCCTGCTTTTCTTCCCCTTCCGCCACGAGTGGAAGTTTCCTGAGGGCCTCACCAGAAACAGATGCCAGTGCCATTCTTCTTCTTCTTTCTTCTTCCTTCTTCTTCTTCTTCCTTCTTCTTCTTTTTTTTAATGGAGTCTCTCTGTGTTGCCCAGGCTGGAGTGCAGTGGTGCGATCTCAGCTCACTGCAACCTCAACCTCCTGGGTTCAAGCGATTCTCCCACCTCAGCCTCCTGAGTAGCTGGGATTATAGGCATGTGTCATTATGCCTGGCTAATTTTTGTATTTTTAGTGGAGACGGGGTTTCACCATGTTGGCCAGGCTGGTCTTGAACTCCTGACCTCCGGTGATCCACCCACCTCGGCCTCCCAAAGTGCTGGGATTACAGGCATGAGCCACCGTGCCTAGCCACATGCTTCTTGTACAGCCTGCAGAACCGTGAGCAAAATCAGCTTCTTTTCTTTATAAATTACTCAGTCTCAGGTATTCCTTTCTAGCAATGCAAATGGACTAAGACAGATATTAATAGATTATAACCCATAGTCCACACTGACAGAAATAACTAGATAATAAACAGCAAGTTTAGTGAGGAATGGGATGTTTACATGGTCTCAAAGTACTTCCCCACAAAATACTTATTAATTACAAAGCGACAAAGAGTAACTTTACAATGGAAAAGGCTGGAACACATCACTTTAATCAAGTGATTGAAAGAAAAGTTAATGTTGTCAGTAATTGGGCAAATCCAAATGGTGCACCACCTACCAAGATGCAGTCAGAAGGACACGGCATCATTTCTGTGATGTTCCTGCCAAAGGTGCATGCCTGAATCTGACCTTGAGGAGACACCAGACGAACCCAAAATGAGAGCTGTTTTACAAATTAACTGGCTTGCATTTTTTGAAAGTGTCAAGATCATGAAAGTCAAAGAAAGGTTGAGAAACCGTTACGTATTGATGGAAACTAAAGACATAGGAAAACTAAATGTGCAATTCTGAACTGGATTTTATTTGCTATAAAGGACATTATTGGAACAACCGGAGAAAACTGAATGGGGTCTGAGGATTAGATAGTAGTAATGTATCAATGTTGCTTTCCTGATTTTGATGTCTCTATCCTGTGGTTATGAAAACCAACATCCTGAGGCTGGGCGCGGTGGCTCATGCCTGTAATCCCAGCACTTTGGGAGGCCGAGACGGGTGGATCACCTGAGGTCAGGAGTTCGAGACCAGCCTGGCCACCATGGTGAAACCCCATCTCTACTAAAAATATAAAAATTAGCTGTGCATGGTGGCGCATTTCTGTAATCCCAGGTACTCTGGAGGCTGAGGCAGGAGAATCACTTGAACCTGGTAGGCGGATGTTGCAGTGAGCCAAGATCACACCACTACACTCCAGTCTGGGCAACAGAGTGAGACCCTGTCTCAAAAACAAAATCAAAAACAACAACAACAAAAAGAAAAACAACATCCTTATCTGTTAGAAATATATACTAAAATCTGGGCACAGTGGCTCACGCCTGTAATCCCAGCACTTTGGGGGGCCAAGGCAGGTGGATCACAAGGTCAGGAGATCGAGACCATCCTGGTCAACATGGTGAAACCCCTCTCTATTAAAATACAAAAAATTATTCAGGCATGGTGGCAGGCACCTGTAGTCTCAGCTACTCAGGAGGCTGAGGCAGGGGAATCGCTTGATCCCGGGAGGCAGAGGTTGCAGTGATCCAAGATCGCACCACTGCACTCCAGCCTGGCGACAGAGTGAGACTCCGTCTCAAAAAAACAAACAAAAAAAGAAAAAAAAAAGAAATATATACTAAAGTTGTCGGGGAGGGGGCAACAGGGTATCCTGTTGGCAATTTATTCACAAATGGTTCCCCCTCAAAATAAGTACTTTGTACCATATTGGCAAATTTTCTGTAAGTTTGAGATTGTTTCAAAATTAAAAATTACCCCCAGGAAGATAGCATTTTGCCTTCCCACCAGAAATATATGTGAGAGAGCCTTGTTCATTGAGTTCGTTGTCAAACTCTTGGATTTTTGCCCATGTAATAGGTGAGCATTGGGTTCTCGCTGTATGTTTTCTTTCGCATTTCTCTGATTATGAGGGGATTGAGCATCTTTCCATGTGTCTAAGGACCATTAGCATGTTGACTGTTAATCTATCAGGCTGTGGTCTTTCTCTTCTTGATTTTTATGACCTCTTTATACATTTTATGACCTCTTTATACATATACACCCCTAACTCTGTACTCTCCCTTCATCTCTCTAAGTTCTCCCCCATTTCTGCTGCTTCTCCAGAGGGAAGAGGGAAGGAGCTGCCATCTATGGAACCCAATCTCACTTCATCTGCACCGAGCATGGTCTCAGGGAGCATAGCGAGACATCTCACCATCCACCCAGCTTTCCGTGGGGTGCATTAGTTTCAAGATGAAAGATTAGAAACCTGTGGTCATGTACTTTCGGATACAAACGTTTTAGTGAGTATAAAGCAGTGGTGGTTTTTTTTTTTCATTCATATTCTTTTATTAGGTAATGTACCCCCTAATTTATAAGTTGAGTTCCATATAACTCAATAAAGGGGGTGTCATTTTTAAAGTTAAACATTTTCTGGAGATAATTTTAGATTTTCATGCAGTTGTGAGAAACACTAAAGAGAGATCCCATGTACCCTTACTCAGTTTCCCCTGATGATACCATCTCACAGTGAAGTGGGCTGTCACAACCAAGATACTGACAGTGACGTGAACGTTTCCATTACCACTGGATTCCTCATGCCACCCTCCAGCTGGCCACCCCTTAACCCTGAACAATGACTAATCTATTCTCTTTTTCTATAATTTTATCATTTCAATAGTGTTATAGAAATGAACTCATTCGGCCAGGCACAGTGGCTCATGCCTGTAATCCCAGCACTCTGGGAGGCTGAGGTGGGTGGATCATGAGGTCAGGAGATCAAGACCATCCTGGCTAACACGGTGAAACCCCGTCTCTACTAAAAATACAAAAAAAAAAATTAGCCAGGTGTGGTGGCGGGTGCCTGTAGTCCCAGCTACTTGGGAGGCTGAGGCAGGAGAATGGCGTGAACCCGGTAGGCAGAGCTTGCAGTGAGCCGAGATCAAGCCACTGCACTCCAGCCTGGGCAACAGAGTGAGACTCTGTCTCAAAAAAAAAAAAAAAAAAATAAAGAACTCATTCAAGGCCGGGCACAGTGCCTCATGCCTGGAATCCCTGTACTTTAGGAGACTGAGGTGGGTGGATCATTTGAGGTGAGGAGTTTGAGACCAGCCTGGCCAACATGGTGAAGCCCCATCTCTACTAAAAACTAAAAACATTAGCTAGGTGTGGCGTCAGGCGCCTGTAAACCCAGCTACTCAGGAGGCTGAGGCAGGAGAATCGCTTGAACCTGGGAGGCAGAGGTTGCAGTGAGCCAAGATCGTGCCATTGCACTCTAGCCTAGGAAACAGAGCGAGACTCCATCTCAAAAAAAAAAAAAAAAAAAAAAAAAAGAAAGAAAGAAACGAACTCATTCAGCATATAGCCTTTTGGAACTGGCTCTTTTCACCAAGCATAACCCTCTGGAGATTCATCTAGATTGTTGCATGTGTCTCTAGTTCACCCCTCTGTATTGCTGGGTAACAGTTCATGGTATGGTTATGCCAGCATGTAAACACTCACCTGTTGAAGGACATCCGCAGGATTTCTAGTTTCCAACTACAGCTTAGAAAACTGAGGCCAGAGAGTGAAGCAACTGCACAGGCATAATACGGCACAGCTGGCATTTCAGCTCCAGTCCATTTGCCAGAGTCACACGGGATGACAGGTGAGAAACAGACCAGGCAGCTTCAATGGGATAGATGGAGACTTGACGTCATTGATAATCTGATGCCTTGAAAGTCGTGTGTAAGAAGCTGACTCTGAATTGGAGGGAGGCCAGGAGATTTGCACCCAGCTCTGGCAATGGGTTTGGGGAAGCTATAAACCACCTTTCAAAGGGAACACCTGGTCGGGTGCAGTGGCTCATGCCTGTAATCCCAGTACTTTGGGAGGCCAAGGTGGGTGGATCACCTGAAGTCAGGAGTTCGACACCAGCCTGGCCAACATGGTGAAACCCCGTCTCTACTAAAAATACAAAAAAAAAAAAAAAAAAATTAGCCGGGCATGGTGGCGGGTGCCTGTAGTCCCAGCTACTCGGGAGGCTGAGACAGGAGAATCACTTGAACCTGGGAGGCGGAGGTTGCAGTGAGCCAAGATTGCGCCACTGCACTCCAGCCTGGGTGACAGAGCAAGACTTTATCTCCAAACAAACAAAAAACCACAAAGGGAACATCTATTGCTGACTGAAAACAGATGAGGAGGGACGTAGCAACTGATTTGCATTGTTCTAGGAGCATCCAGATCAAACGTATATTCAGGGGCCAGAGGAGAAGTGTAACTGAATTTAGAGGAGCGGATGGAGTGGAGAATAACTCGAGGAACAGCGCCATCGGTGTGACACTACTCACACTGCAGCCATGAAGGGATGGGCTCTCCGGGGAGTGTGGAGACCAGAGGTTCGGGGGTAGGCTACAACCTGGGGCTGGAAGAGATGACAACAAAGGAGAGAGAAGGGGGCTCAGGGAGGCAGGGCGAGCCAGATGAATGAATGAAGGCCAAAGACAAAGGGACTCAGTATTTCCGAGGCAAGAGGTCAGGGAGGAAGGAGTGCATTTGTTATCTACAGCGCATAACAAGTTAGCCCATATCTTAGCGGCTGAAACAACACGTATTGTCTCTCTGTTTCCATGGGTCAGGAATCTGTGAGTGGCTTGCTGGGGTCCTCAGGCTCAGGCTCTCTCACAGACTGCAATCAAGGTGTCCGGCTGCTGTCATCTCAAGGTTTGATGGGGAAGGATCCACTTCCAGCCTCACTCACATGGTTGTTGTTGACAGAATCTAGTTCCTCACAGGTTGGTGGACTGAGGGCTTCAATTCAATGCTGGCTATTGGCCAGAGGCTGCCCTCAGCTCCTTGCCACGTGGGCCTCTCCACAGGACGCTCCCAAGATGGCAGCTGGCCTCACCAGAGAGGAAGGAGGAGAGAGCGAGAGAGTGTGTGGCAAGCGAAGAGACGAACTTTCATAACCAAATCTTGGAGGCATTTGCGCTGTTCTCTCCGTTAATAGCCAGTCACTAGAACCAGCCCACACTGAAGTGGAGGGGATTACAAGGATCCAGATACCAGGAAGCCATTTTAGAAGCTGCCCACCACAGGAGCAAAGGCAAGGGGGCTGGACCCGACCTAAGACTACCCCAGGCAGCCCAGAGCAGACTGTCCGAGAGTGTGAGGACAGAATCCCAGCCCGAATCCCAGCTGTCCCAGCACCACAGGGAGACATGGACACACTCAGGGCCTCCTGCCGGTTCCCAGAAGAGCCTGGCTCAGTCATTTGCCTGGGTTCACTCCCACCACCCCCAGCAGTGCCGGGAATAAAACAATAATACACAGCAGCAAAATGCCCCTCCAGCAGCCCATGTACACAGCCTGGCTCACCTTCCCCATCTTACCAGCCGGCACTGCCATCGGGACACGGAAACCTCTTCAGGACGTGGGAGGAGGGGAAGCAATTCCATAGACATTTCTGGGCCCTTCTCAGCTGCCCCCACCAGCAGCCAGCAGCCCCCTGGATCCATCTGGGGAAGGAGACTCCCCTTTCCCTGAGGGCCTCCCCCTCTGAGCCTGGCCAGCACCCTGGGCCTGTTCTCCTGTCCCCCTGCAGCTGCAGGGCCATAGGTCCCCTTGTGGGAGGGACAGAAGGACAGAGAGGCACCAGGAAGGTGGGCACCAGGGCCTTCCCACCAGGAGCCGACACTCCCCAGGGAACATTTCCGGGGCATGCTCAGGAGGCAGGAAGTGGGATGCAGGGGAAATCCTCAAAGGCTGAGGCTGCGGCTGGACAGAGACTTGAGGGAGGAACAGAGGAGGATGGCAGGTACAAATCTCAACCCACGGCAGGTAAAAGACATGCACCTTTTTAGAAGTCCCCTGATGTCAGTTTTTAGAAGTCCCCTGATATTTGTCTCTGCCCAAATCTCATGTCGAACTGTAATCCTTTGCATGGGAGGTGCTTGGATCACTGGGCTGGATTTCTTGTGAATGGTTTAACGCCATCCCCTTGGTGCCGTCCATGTGTTAGTAAGTTCTTATGAGATTTGGTCATTTAAAAGTGACACATAGCATCTCTCACAAAGTGTGGGAGCACACTCTCACTCTCTTGTTCCTGCTTTTGCTACCTGCCTGCTCTTCCTTTGCCTTCCATCATGATTGGAAACTTCCTGAGGCCTCCCTGGAAGCCAAGCAGATGCCATCATCATGCTTCCTATAAAGCCTGCAGAACTATGAGCCCATCAAAACTCTTTTCTTTAGAAATCACCCAGTCTCAAGTTTTTTTGTGTGTTTTTTTGTTTGTTTGTTTTTGAGACGGAGTTTCACTCCGTCACCCAGGCTGGAGTGCAATGGCGCGATCTCGGCTCACTGCAACCTCTGCCTCCTGGCTTCAAGCAATCCTCCTGCCTCAGCCTCCTGACTAGCTGGGATTACAGGTGTCTGCCATCATGCCTGGCTGATTTTTGTATTTTTAGTAGAGACGGGGTTTCACCATGTTGACCAGGCTGGTCTCGAACTCCTGACCTCAAGTGATCTGCCTGCCTCGGCTTCCCAAAGTGCTGGGATTACAGGCATGAGCCACCATGCCTGGCCAAGTATTTCTTTCTTTCTTTTTTTTTTTTTTTTTTTATGACAGAGTCTTGCTCTGTTGCCCAGGCCAGAGTGCAGTGGCGTGACCTCTGCTCACTGCAAGCTCTACCCCTCAGGTTCATGCCATTCTCCTGCCTCAGCCTCCTGAGTAGCTGGAACTACAGGCGCCTGCCACCATGCCTGGCTAATTTTTCTGTATTTTTAGTAGAGACGGGGTTTCACAGGGTTCGCCAGGATGGTCTCTATCTCCTGACCTGGTGATCTGCCCGCCTTGGCCTCCCAAAGCGCTGGGATTACAGGCGTGAGCCACTGCACCCGGCCCTGGCCAAGTATTTCTTTATAGCAATGTCAGAACAACCTAATATATACCCTTTGGGACGAGGGGCATATGATAGACAGAATAGTGGCACCTGAAAGATGTCCATGTCCAAATTGCTGGAACTTGTGAATTTGTCAGGCCACATGGCAAGGGGAATTAAGGTTGCAGATGGAATTAAGGTTGCTAATAGCTGACCTAGAGTTGGGGGGATTATTCTGGATTATCAGGGTGTGTCCAATGTCATCACAAGCATCCTTAGAAGCGGGAGAGGGAGGGCCGGGTGCAGTGGCTCATGCCTGTAATCCCAGCACTTTGGAGGCCGAGGCAGGTGGATCACATGAGGTCAGGAGTTTGAGACCAGCTTGGTCAACAGGGCGAAACCCCGTCTCTACTAAAAATACAAACATTAGCCAGGTATGATGGCACATGCCTGTAATCCCAGCTACTCGGGAGGCTGAGGCATGAGAATCACTTGAACCAGGGAGGTGGAGGTTGCAGTGAGCTGAGATCACACCACTGCACTCCAGCCTGGGCAACAGAGCAAGGCTCCATCTCAGAAAAAAAAAGAAAAAAAAAAGTGGGAGAGGGAGATGGAAGAGTCAGTGTCAGGGCAATGCAACATGAGAAGGCCTCAACGCATTATGTCTGGCTTTGAAGATGGAGGAGGGAGCCACAAGCCAAGGAATGTGGGTGCTTCTAGAAGCTGGCAAAGGCAAGGACATTGGTCCTCCCCTGGAGCTTTCAGAGAAGGCCACAGCCCCTTTTTCCTGTTCTTCCCCCTCTGTTCCAAGCTGGGGCCTGAGCCGGGCAGCTGGGCTAAGAGCTGGAAGACCTGGATTCCAACCCTGGCTCTGCCTCTAATTTGCTCTTGGACCCTGAGACGTCGTGTTTCTTCACTTGACCTTAGTTTTCTGACACATGGGCTTGTAACAGGCTCCTGCCTGTCTCCTGGGGTGGCTAGGCCCAGGCCACATGTAGGGATGCTCAAAAGCAGGGCAATAGTCCTGAGGCCCATGCCAGGGCCCTGGCCCCTGGCTCCAGGTCTAACGCCCATTTGCATTTTCATTCCTTTTCTAACCCAACAAAGGATCAGGGCTGGGATCATAAAAGTGACTCCCAGAGAGTAAACCTCCTCTCAGACAAAGGACGGCATGGAGGGCAGAGGTGTTAAGTCAGTTCCCTAAGTCCACTCAGCCAGCTGGGGCCAAGCACTAAACTTCCAGGCTTCCAGTGAGGGCATTTTCCCCACCCCAGAGGGTGTCCTTCAGGGGAACATCTGTCCCAGAGTGGCACTGGGTAAAGGGCAGGGGCTTCGCATTGGGAGCTGTGGATTCTCGTGCCAGCTTGCCCACTCGCCAGATGTTGTGCTCTTGTTGATCATGCCTGGCTTGCGGGGTTGTTGGGAGAATTAAATGAGAGGGTGCTGAGTGCCTGGTACTGAGCCCACACATAGCGAGTACTCCACAGCCTTAGCTGACATGAACTGCCTGCCTTCCCTGCTTCTCTCCATTCCTCATTTCACAGAAGACAGGGGAAATTCCCCTTTCAGACAGAGCTCTCATGAGATCCTAGTCACAAACCCGGAGGCAGACAGGCCAGCCCTTGTTTTTTTGTTTTTTTGTTTTTTTTTTTTAGATGGAGTCTCGTGCTGTTGCCCAGGCTGGAGTGCAATAGTGCAATCTCGGCTCACTAAAACCTCCGCCTCCTGGGTTCAAGCGATTCTCATGCCTCAGCCTCCCGAGTAGCTGGGATTACAGGCACGCTCCATCATGCCTGGCTGATCTTTTGTATTTTTAGTAGAGATGGGGTTTCATCATGTTGATAAGGCTGGTCTGGAACTCCTGACCTCAAGATCTGCCGGCCTCGGCCTCCCAAAGTGCTGGGATTACAGGTGTGAGCAACTGCACCTGGCCCCAGCCCTTGTTTTGTCCATTTTAAGGATGAGGCTGCTGAGGTCCCGAGGGGGCTCTGAGCAAGCCAGCGGCAGAGCCAGGGCCAGACCAGGACTCTCACCTCACCCTCTGTCCACACAGAATTTCCCAGGGGGCCCGGGGCTCTCTTGTGCTAGAGACTGGCTGAGGCCGAGGGCTTGTCACCCAGCCCACCTGCTGCCAGGCTGGGTACTGGCTCACAGCTCTGTCCCTGAGCAGATCTAACCCAGCCCTCCCCTTGCTGTCCCCTCCCTCTCACTGCGTCCCAAGCACCCGGCCTCCAGGGTCATTTGGAAAACCTGCCTGTCCCCAGACATCTTGAAATCTCTTGAGTGGAGACCTTTCCTTGCCACACTTAATGAATTTCAGGAGCTGAATGTGGGCCCCTGGGAGGTTGGGGGCTGTGAACAGTGGGGAGAGGAGTAGACAGGGACAAAGAAGTTCAGGACAGGAAGGTGCAAGAACCTGGGCTGCGGGGGCTGATTTTCCTGAGCAGAACTGGGCTAGCATGTTCGTGGGGACAAGGGAACAATGGGGGAGATGGAGGCCGGGTGTTTTGCTAAGCCAGGGCAGGAAAGCCTGACCTTCTGCACTTCTCAGGGGCCCAGCAGTGCCCTCCACACAGACCCTGGAGATATGGGCTTGGGGCTCTTGCCCAGAGAGTGGCAGGGAGGGCCCATCTTAGGTCCTAAGGTGTCTGCTGGTTCTGCCAGGTCTAACTCAGGTGCCCAAGAAGCAAGTCCTCTGAGGGCCCCAAGACCACCCATAGTGGCCCTAGAAAAGGTGGCTCCCCCATCCCCCTTGAGCCTTAAACTTGGCAGATTTCCTGGATTCCATGACTGACACAGACCTTCCTTTCCCAGCAGCCAGCCCTGAGCAGGGCCCATGGACTCGCCCTGTCCCTTCCCCTCCTTGACCAGGCAAACCATCTTGAAGTTGCTAGAGCAAGATTCTTCCTTATCCACTGGGAGAGGCCAGGGTCTGTCCTTCTCTCAGGCCACCCCCACCCCCAGCCCCCCCTTCTCTTCTCAGGTGATTTTGGTGGCATACCTCTTCCTTTCTGTCCTAAGCCCATCAACCCCCCTCCCACTTTTTTTTTTTTTTTTTTTTTTTTTGGCCACAGAAAAGAAAGAAAAAGGAAAACAGCCTAAAGGCATATTCTCCTTTGTGTAAAATTAATATATGCTATTCAAGGGCATGTAAATGTAATTTTAAAGTCAGCTTTCTTGGGCCTTTGTTAGGAGGCCGCTGTCGTGGTCAGAAATCTACATAGCATATGGCATATAGTAGGTGGTCAATAAAAAAAAACTCATCCTGCCCTCCTCTCTCCCCGCCACCTTTCCTTTCTCAAGGGTCCCGAGGGCACCTGGGCTTCCCAAAGCAGAGAGGCCTGTTGGGGGCAGATGCCCACCTGCCCTCCCGCCACCCGTGCCTGTCTGGGCTTCTCCTCCCAGAACAAACCTCTCCTGCAGGGGAGGGCAGGTGGCACCTGAGGGACTGTCCTGAGGGCTACTGAGGGACTCAAGGAAAAAACCCACCTTGAGTCAAGCAAGTCTTCCATGTCTCAGAGGGGATCCTTCCCAGGCCTCCTTTTTTTTTTTTTTTTTGAGATGGAGTCTCAGAGTCTTGCTGTGTCACCCAGGCTGGAGTACAGTGGCGTGATCTCAGCTTACTGTAACCTCCGCCTCCCGGGTTCAAGCGATTCTCCTGCCTCAGCCTCCCGAGTAGCTGGGATTACAGACTGCACCATCATACCCAGCTAATTTTTTTTTTTTTTTGAGACAGAGTCCCACTCTGTCGCCTAGGCTGGAGTGCAGTGGCATGATCTTGGCTTACTGCAACCTCCGCCTCCCGGGTTCAAGCGATTCTCTTGCCTCAGCCTGCCAAGTAGCTGGGACTACGGGCACGTGCCACCACACCCGGGTGATTTTTGTATTTTTAGTAGAGACGGGGGTCTCACCATGTTGGCCAGGCTGGCCTCAAACTCCTTATCTCAGGTGATCCGCCTGCCTTGGCCTCCAACTCTGTGCTGGAGCTACAGATATGAGCCACCGCGTCCGGCCAGGCCGCCTTTTAAATTAGGATCAAGGAGCATGGCCTGAAAAAATGATTGTTTTAGTGCCCCGACCCCACGAGGGAGTGCGGGACTGAGACCCCCATCAGGCCACTGAGCAGGGGAGCCAGGACAGCTTGGCGGTCACACCCCGGAGGTCTGGGTGCAGCGCGGGAAGGCTGGGTCCCTTCTAGGATCTCTGGGCCACTAGTCCAGCTGTGGGGACAGTGTCCGAAGCCCCTGCCCCACTGACTGGGGATCCGGAAAAAGGGTGCCACCTCCCCACCCCAGGCATCTACTTTGCTTAATGGAGGCTGAGCCCAAAGAGATGCCATTGAGCACCTAACACCACTATTGCCACTTTTCTGGCCACTTTTCCACATCAAACTCATTCTTTTGGTCAAGTGGGAATAGAAATCAGGGAAAGTTGTGGGGAAAGTCATTTCAAGTAAACAGATTCAAAAGCGCTCGACAGCCCCTCGGCGGCTCCGCTCCGAATAACCCCACCGCGGTCAGCAGGTTTCGGAGCGGAGTCCGGGTCTCCATCGGCTGCAAAAACCAGCGAAGTGGGCGGCTCCGCCAGGCCGAGGACCCAGTGCAGTCGCCGCATTTCGCTCTTCACCCTCCAGGTGGCGCTAGCGGGGGCGGAGCGCATATTTGTATTTGGGGAGGAGCTTCAGAAATGCTGACTGTTGATTGGCTGGGCTCAGTCTCGCTTTCTTTTCTCCTTCCCGGCAGGGCTAGGGAGGGGACCCAGTCCCGGTGCCTGAGCTGCGCAAGAGGAAACGTGTGTGTGGGAATGGGACAGAGGGGACGGGGTTGGCTCACTTGACACAGAAAGAACATTTGGGGCATGGCCCCTGGGTGTGTTCACTCCTCAAGGACAATCCTGATTTCCTGGTTTTTGTTTTTTTAATAAAGGCAATTTGTTAAGTGTATAATGAACTGTGTTTTCCATTTGTCATTCCTTTATAAGACACCTCATAAATTTACACACCAGGAAAATCCTTGGTGGGACCTGTTGATAATAAAGACATCGTTATTTACAAAAGAACGAAGGTGAGGACCTTCTAGACCTCCCTTTTTCATTTTCTTGGTCTCTGAATGTTGTGTTTGTGTTACCAATATAACGATCTGTGGCTGTATTTTATTTGCACATCTAACAACTGATTGTTAAGCTTCCGCTATCTGGCAGGCATTGGGTGGGGTTTCTCTGAGTCAAGAGTGAGGAAAAAAAGAGGGGGAGCTCGTGGACAGGTAGGACAGGCGGCAGCCAGGATCCAGGCTGTGCACGGGGAACATTGAAGAACGCTGCCACGGCCCCGAAGAAGAAGTGGAGCCACGGGGAGAGGAACGGGGAATTTAGAGGAAGTGGGGCCCGAGGGCAGCGGAGCAGAGCCGCTAGCTCAAAAAGCGCAGTGCTGAAGTCACACTGATGTCACTGCAGAAGCCCAGAGGAGCTAAGGAGAGGTGAGATGTTGGGGGATTCCCTAGGGCAGCTGGAGTGGGCCCCTGGCCTTTTGTCCGGTTGGTGGGGAGGAAAGCATTGGAAAGTATAACTTCCAGAATATTTCCTTCTTGCTCAGGACAGAAAGCCATCTCTGGGGCCAGGCGCGGTGGCTCACGACTGTAATTTTAGCACTTTGGGAGGCTGAGGCGGGTGGATCACGAGGTCAGGAGTTCAAGACCAGCCTGGCCAACATGCTGAAACCCCGTCTCTACTCAAAATATAAAAATTAGCCGGGCATGGTGGCAGGCGCCTGTAATCCCAGCTACTCGGGAGGCTGAGGCAGGAGAATGGCTTGAATCTGGGAGGCAGAGGTTGTGGTGAGCCGATCATACTACTGTACTCCAGCCTGGGAGACAGAGTGAGACTCCGCCGCAAAAAAAAAAAAAAAAAAAAAAAAAAAAAAAAAAAAAAAAAGAAGAAATTTTTGCTAAGTGAATAAGGGAAGCAGATGCTTCTTGATCGGTAGAGAAAGCTCCCTCTAGGAGCCTGCACAGAGCCCAGTATCTCTGGCAAAGAATAAATTGTTCGGAGAGGGCTCTCTTTAGTGTAGGGGAAAGTAGCCCCTTTGCCCCGGGAGAAAACTGTGACAAGACCTTGGCGTTTCAAGGGCTTGAAGAAACTGCTCACCCACTGAGGGGGCAAGCAAGTCACAAGTGTGTGTATACCTGGTGGTGAGAGTGAGGTCTGCGAGGTGGTCCTCCCCATCCTGTCCTGCTCCTTACCTGCCATTCCAAGACCAGCCTCCACCCCAGAAGCAGATTTTCCCATGACTTGAGGGCTACAGCCTGGGCAGAGATTTGGCTCAGGGCCCTGGACTCCACCCCTCGACCTCCTTAAGTGGCCCTTTACATGTCTGGGCAGGGGAGACAAATCAGCGCCCCAAGCCTGAGCACCCGTGCCAGGCCTGGGGAGATCCTCAGCCACCTGGCACCGGGCGTGGGGCTTGGGCCCTGGCAGTACCAGGTTCCCTTGTCCCCATCACTGTAGCCTCTCGCCTATGAGTCCAGGTAGGGTCTGGCCAGTGCGGCTCAGTGTGGCTTGACCCACAGTGCCCAGTGGATGGTGCAGACACTAGTGTCAGAGGAAGAAAGGAAAGCAACCATTATTACTCATTTGCTATGTGCTCAGCCCTGCTCCAGGTCTCTTACACATTTTAATATAATCCTTAGAACAACTAAATAGGTTGGAATTATCTTCATTTTATAGATGCAGAGAATAAGGCAGTGACCTGAGGTCACTCTAGAAAGGAGCAGCGTCAGGATTCAAATGAAGGTGTGCCTGCCCTCCAGAACCCATGCTTTTCCATTGAACCCTATAGCTGTCCAGGAAGGCATGGTCCCCAGGGATCCCAGGAACCCTCAGGTACCTCCCTGAGAAGCAGGGCCCCAGACAGGCCTCCAAGAAACAGGGAGGATGAGACAACTCCAGAGAAGAAGGCAGAACCCTCGCTGGTGAGGACCCTTGGGAGCAAAGACAGGGACAGAAGGAGGAGACTTAGCAAGGGGCCAGCAGGGTGCAGACTCGCAGAAAAAGGAAAGGGAGAAGATTCAAAAGGGCAAATTGAGGCAAGAGGTGACAGATTTAGACCAGGTCTAGGGAGATCATGGAGGAAGCCCGGGGCAGCTGGAGGCACCCCAGCAGGACTGGATGACTTAGGGACCAAGGTTGGAGCAGAGGGCAGGAGTCACACATATAAATGCTCCTGGGAGCTGGGCAGGTCACGTCAATGGGCAGGTGAGCTGAGGGTGGAGCACAGACAGAGCTGAGCAAGAGACAAGCAGGACGTGGGAGTTGGAGCGGGGTTGGGAGCCCTCAGACAATAACCAGAGGCTGGGACACAGGCGCCCAGTCTTTCCCAGGCAGCTGGGTGGGCAGCGGGCACACCAGACAATCATGGGTCCTGGACCCACACCTCAGATCCCCTCTTAGTGACTGTGCAAGCTTTCCCATCCTCGTTAGCCTCTCCAAGTTTTCTCTACAGATGGACACCCTCGGCATCGCCTTAAAACACGTATTCATTAACCACACTAAAAAGCAGTCTTTTCCCCATTCCAGGGCCAGTCTGCACAATCGTTAGGTTCTAACATAAGCTTCATTTCCAGGCCAGCACACCCTCCGGGTCACAATACATTAGTCATTTGCCATTCAGAATTGGCACCCATTGTGTGCCAGCACTGTCTTTTAGCTCCTTCTCCCATGTTTCAGGCTGGTGGGAACTGGCACCCACCGTGTGCCAGCACCCTGTCTTCTAGCTCCTGCTCCCGTGTTTCAGGTTGGTGGGAAGTTTTCAAGTTTCAAGTGTCTGGGGGAAAGTTTATACCTCATTTGGGTGTTCCCGAGCAGGAATACCCTCAGCGGTAACTGGCACAGAGTGAGCTATTGCTTCCTGTGGGCCATGGTGATTGGACTGTCTCCCACCTAGCCAGGAAGTGCCTCCAGGCAGGAGCCGACTCTTCTAGAGGCCTGAGACAGGCCTGCTCCTTTGCATAAGAACTTGTCCAGGATGCTTTAGCTTTGGGCTGGGGTGGGGTGGGTGGTGCGTCATTCAGGAAGACAGGTGGATTTTTTTAAAGCAATAAAATAGTACTATTATTTGTAAACTTTGTTCAGACACTATCCTAGCATTTCATGTGTGTTGGTTAACAGGCAGAAATTTAATTACCTGCATTATCTCTCTATATATTTAGTAAATCATTTGCGTGTTAGGTATTTGTCCACAAGCACTCATTTTAGTTACCAGGGATCTTGGAGAACATAGTATTCGCACATTTTGAGGGACTCGAAGGTGTATATCACTATCCCTGACTTTAGGGACCTTATAGTTGGTTCAGGAAGACAAGAAGAGCATGTTAAAAAGCTCAGAGGAGCCAGGTGCGGAGGCTCAACTGTAATCCCAGCACTTTGGGAGGCCAAGGTGGGCCCAAGAGTTTGAGACAAGCCCCTTGCTTGAGCTCAGCCTGGGCAATATGGCAAAACCCTGTCTCTATTTAAAAAAAGAAAAAAAGAAAAAAAGAAAAAAAAAAAGGCTGGGTGCAGTCGCTCAGGCCTGTAATCCTAGCACTTTGGGAGGCCGAGGCAGGTAGACCACGAGGTCAGGAGTTCGAGACCGGCCTGGCCAATATGGTGAAACCCCATCTCTACTAAAAATACAAAAATTAGCTGGGCATGGTGACGCACACCTGTAGTCCCAGCTACTCGGGAGGCTGAGGCAGAAGAATCGTTAAAACCCAGGAGGCAGAGGTTGCAGTGAGCCAAGATCATGCCACTGCACTCCAGCCTGGGCTGGATCTCAAAAAAATCCAGCTGTTAGCGTCCTGATTTTGGACTCCATCTTAAACAAAAAAAAGAAAAGAAAAGAAAAAAAAGCTAGCCAGGCATGGCGGCATTTGCTTACAGTCCCAGCTATTAATACTTGGGAGGCTGAGATGGGAAGATTGCTTGAGTCCGGGAAGTCAAGGCTGCAGTGAGCCATGATCACGCCATTGCACTTGAGCCTGGGTGACAGAGCAAGATGCTGTCTCAAAAAACAAAAACAAAAACAAAAAAAAAACAACTCTTGGGTTCAAGGCCCCGTGTGACTGGGCGGGGTGGGTACTAACTTCACAACTCTGCCTATGTTGAAGGGGCTTCTCTCTACTCTGCCTCAGTTCCTTGTTTCTCTAAAACTTCTCCTTTCCTACTTATAGCCCCAGGCCATCCTGGACAGTCATTGGCAGGCCCACCATCACTATGGGGTGGCCCAGTGTCACATCTGCCAGGAATACCAGCACTTGAGAATTACCTATGCAAATTTTGCACTGACCAGTGGTGAACAAAATAATGTAACCCACATGTAGATTGGGGGTGTGGGGCTTTTGCCACTGGAGTTCCCCCGGCCTTGAATGATGGGAGCAGAGGCAGTGACAGCAGACATTGGAAGCAGCTGGCCGGGGCCTAGGGGACCGTCTCTGACTCGGCAGTGAGGTCCCTCTCTGCATCTTCTGTCCTAAAACTGTGGCTTTGCACAGAAGCCACAAGGTAAAAGGGGATGGAATAATTGTAAGTGTGGACATTTTCCCACAAATCTGTGCTCCCCAGAAATTCAGTTGTCTTTTCTTTTTTTGAGATGGCGTCTCGCTCTGTAGCCCAGGCTAGAGTGCAATGGCACGATCCCGGCTCACCGCAACCTCTGCCTCCTGGGTTCAAGTGATTCTCCTGCCTCAGCCTCCTGAGTAGCTGGGATTACGGGCACCCGCCACCTCACCTGGCTAATTTTTGTATTTTTAGTAGAGATGGGGTTTTGCCATGTTGGCCAGGCTGGTCTCGAACTCCTGACCTCAGGTGATCCACCCGCCTCAGCCTCTCAAAGTGCTAGGATTACAGGCACGAGCCATCACGCCCAGCCAGTTGTCTCAGTTCTTAATTCTTCTCTAGAGTCAGAGGGAGGTCGCCTGCTGCCTGAGAATGGCCCAGGAAGGCATTCTCTGGCCAGGGCTTCAGAGGATGTAACGATGCCCACACAGAGCTGGGAAAGTGCCAGTTCCATGGCCGCCCTGGAGCAGCTGCCTGACACAGGCATGGCCAGCGATTACAGGCGGTGGGGGGAGCCTGAGGGTCTCAGCAGACATGTTGCCATGGGGGAATTGTGGGACCAGTAGAGCCAGGTAGTCTAACTTTTCCAGAGATACTGTAAATCTGGGTTTTTCTGTTAAATCTTCTGATATTTCACCATTTGCAACCCATTAAATTGTCTTAAAAACGCCTCCTGGGCTGAACAAAATAAGACTTTGGGCCACCCTCTGTTCTGCCCTCCAATTTAGACCCAAAACGTCCACCTCTTAGTCCAAACCATCCTGGCCTGGCCCCTCGGGTAGGGTTCCCCTCAGAGCGCCCCTTCCCAGAGAGCAAAGCTGGCAAATGAAACGGGGCAGGAGCAAGTGCCAGCGTCAGCGTGGGGACCCCTGCACTTGGCAGGGAGCGGGGATTTCAGCCTGGTGCAGGGCTGAGAGGTATCACCCTTCTAGCCTCCGCAGCTGACTTTCTTTAGGGACGGGCACCTACCAGGCCGGCGGCTGTGGTGGACCAGGCCAAGGAGACAGGCGGCAGCAGGTGAAGTGATGCTTCCTCCTCAACTGGCCTAGTCCTGGGCCCGAGGTGGGCAGGAGGCGGGCAGGAGCAGTCTTAGCCATGCCGAGGCCAGGACACGGGGCTATGCTGTCATTTCTTTGCCTCCTTCTTTGAGGACACTGAAATCAAAGCTCCCTCCTTCTCACCCCAGGGGAGCTGTGGGGCTGGGACTGGAGAGGCCCTCGCATCTTGCTTTGCCCTTGTAATTTTTTTTTTTTTTTTTAAGACAGAGTCTTATTCTGTCATCCAGGTTGGAATGCAGTGGCACGATCTTGGCTTACTGCCATCCAGGTTGGAATGCAGTGGCACGATCTTGGCTTACTGCAACCTCCACTTCCCAGGTTCAAGCAATTCTCCCTGCCTCAGCCTCCCAAGTAGCTAGGATTACAGGCGCCCGCCACCACGCCTGGCTAATGTTTGTATTTTTTAGTAGAGGCGGAGTTTCACCATGTTGGCCAGGCTGGTCTCGAACTCCTGACCTTAGGTGATCCACGGGCCCCAGCCTCCCAAAGTGCTGGGATTACAGGCGTGAGCCACCGTGTCCAGCCTGCCCTTGTAATTTTTAAGGTAAATCTGTGAAGAGATGTATTTATTTGCACTGTATGTGTTTCAGGTTGAATTGATTTTGTTTTGACATGTTGGTTCAAAATAAGGTGGACCCTTTGGAAAATCAGCTTGCTGAAGCCATTTATTCAGCTCAGCTCGAGGGGTTTAATTGAAAACAGCTGAGGCACACTGACATCACCACAGGCCTCCAGACTGAAAGGGACCTCAGAGGAGGCGCGCTGGCTTGGAGGAGGGAAAGCCTGGCTTCAAAAGCCAGAGCCAGTGAAGTGAAGTTTTATCCGAGGAGGAAGGTTTTGCTGCAAAAATAGTTCCTTTAGTATGTTTTTAAAAAACAAAGAAGCAAGAGGAGCTGAGCAGGCATATTTAAGAGCTTACAAGAGTAGGGAACAGTGAAGAACTCACTGAAACTCTGAAAGCAGCCTTGGATAGGCTGTGATGAGCAAGTGAATGGACGTCATGAGACAGTATGGTTTCTGTTATTTCCTAATTTGCTGCCATTTTATTTATTTATGGTTGGAGTCTTCTCCCCTTAGCACTCTTCTGTCCCCCATATTTGGTGCTGAACAATTGCTTTGTGCGATTGCGTTTCTCAGGTACATCCTGCAGCCTCCTACCTTGTGCTGCAGAGACAACATCTAATGCACAGCTGGGCTCCGGGACCTGGTGCTCCTGGTGTGGATGGCAAATGAAGAACTGTATCTCATTTTCATGCAACTTGTACCTATTTGTCCCACTAATTTTGCAAAGAAAAGAAGCAGAGAGAGGAGGAGGATGCCCTCTGTTTGCCCACATTAGTGCAGATCAGTCACTGGAGGACCTGCTTCTGGGAGGATGAATAGCCCATGTGGAGGGGCCCTACCATCAGGTGGTCAGGAAAGCTTGGTAACCAGGCCAAAAGCATCGTCGTCAGTACCAGAGGATGCTTGGTGAGGTGACTTAGGCAGGGAGGGTGGGGTGAAGGCTCAGTTGGCCTAAGGCCAGGATATAAAGTGAGTGACGTAGCATTTTTCCAGGGGAAAGTGTCCTTACATACCCCATCCAAAGGTTTAATATGACTCTAAGCAGCAGGACCAGCTCCTCTGGTGACAGAGGAGGCCTGGAAGGGGCAGCACTCCCGCAGGGACCCCTCCACTCCTTCCCTGTGTGGCCCTGGGCCATCTGATTTGCTTGGTTTCGGCTTCTTGAGCTGTCCTGATGGTTCCTTCACACTTTAACGTTCTATGATTCTCTGACTAGCCCTAACCCTTAAGTGGCAGTGGGAATGTCACAGCCTCTCTGTGGGGCTAAAGATTCAATTTCTGCTGATACCCCCCTACAGAGTCTGGAGTGGGTGTTGGTGGAGCCAGGCGAGTCTCTTTAGTGTGAGGCCTGGCCAGGGAGGAATGTGACAGGTGGGGCAGGTGATCCTTCAGAGGAGCGGGGCCCCCCAGAGACCTTCCAATCCTGCCCTGCAGAGCCAGGGTGCAAGATGACGGGCCCCAGGATGTTTTAAGGTGAAAAAATAGTAGATCTGGGTGATTATTTCTCCGTTGTGGTTTTCAAAATGGGCAAACCAGGTTCCCATTAAGCCAACTGACTCAACACTCCACTTCTTTCCCTGAGCCACTCCCTGCTCTCTCCCCCAAAATCTTCTTTGAAATCTTGCTGCCATTCCATCACATTAGCAAGTTGACACTGTGGTGAGGACTAAACTCTGATTTTTTTTATCTTGCCCAAATTCCTATCTAAGGGGTCTGGAGAGTCATGCCCTACAAATCATAAATTCTCATCAGATAGGTTTCATTTAACCCTATATATTGTGACTTACTTTCCAGCCTGACTCTGGCTGGCATAACGTTATGAGACAAGGAAGAAAATAAAAATATTTTACCCCAAAACATGTTTCTTTGCCATATTTTGAAAAGGCCCTGCACAAAGCTGTTTTTTGTGGGGGGAAAATTTGCATCTGTAAAGAATGTCTATTATCGTAGCTAGATCTTTTTCTTCCTGACCCTCCCAATCCTAAAGAGATGAACTAAGATCTGAATAGGAAACTTTTGTCATCTATTGTCTCTAAGGGCAGCCACTATTAGACTTCAAAAGAACTTTTTCCACAATCTTTACCTTAACCTGAACATTCCCTTTCTATGAATCCCAGGTCTTTAGACAAACTCAACCAATTGTCAACCAGAAAATGTTTAAATTCACCTACAGCCTGGAACCACCCCCTCCACCCCTTCCCCCTCCCCCACCTTTGAGTTGTCCCGCCTTTCTGGACCAAACCAATGTATTTCTTAAATGTATTTCATTGATGTCTCGTGCCTCTCTAAAATGTATAAAACCAAGCTGCGCCCTGACCACCTTGGGCGCATGTTCTCAGGACCTCCTAAGGGCTGTGTCACGGGTCATGATCTCTCATATTTGGCTCAGAATAAATCTCTTCAAATATTTCACAGAGTTCAACTCTTTTCGTCGACAGTGGGAAGTGATGGAGCATCAGAGCCCAACAGACAGATGGGGTTTCTCCTTTCTAACTACATGAGGACGCCCGACCTCTTCAGGCCCTGTTCCCCTGGGAATCGATAATATCACATCACAGTTTTGCTGAGCAGATGACACTAAGATCACATAGGTGAGCACACCCGGCACACAGTAGGCACTTCACATGCACTTGTTCCCTTCCCTTTAGAGCCAAGCCCTCTTGAAGAAACCCACCTGGATCTGGTCACCAGTGACTCAGAAGCCCAACGTGCGTGCAGCTTACAGAACGGTCACACGCGATCCTGTGTGTCATGATCTCGCTATTCTTTCGGTTCTAGTGTTTTCCTTTATTCACCCCCTCCTAGGTGTCTTTAAGCAGCTCTGCTCTCTGGTTTCCCCAAGCAGAGTTCCATTTTCTCGGTACCTCTCCACATGCCTGGATGGTGCTCTCTAGCAGTGGTTGGGGCTGGCTGTGGTTTCTGAGCTTCTAAGATCCCCCAGACCCCTGCTGGAAGTGAGTTCCTGCCTTGGGTGTGCCTGAGTGTGCTGAGTCGAAAGTCATTTTTTTTTTTTTTTTTTTTTTTTTTTTTGCGGGGAACTGTGCGTGCACAACACAGCCAGGGAGTGACCTAGTCCAGGGAGCCTAGTCTCCCCTTAACACAGCATGCGGAAGAATAAAGACCCAGGCTCTATCATAAAATGGGGGCAGGTAAAGAGCAGTTAGGCGAGGGGGCGTGGGCCGTCAGGGTAGGGGCCTCAGTAAACAGAGTTGAACAAGGGCCTCTCCCAGCTCCACCCTGGCTTTAAACCCCATGGTTTGCAGTTCGGCTCCAGAGGCCTCCCAGTGACCCCAATCTCATTCCTCTCGACTCAACAGTGATGGCGGAAGGCAGGAAGATAAGCTGGACTCCTTGAAGCCGACACCCCCCAGGGAAATTCCATCACCCGCCTTGAGCACTGTAGACCGGGCTGGGGTAAGGGTGGGATGTGGGGAGAAGGGCGGGGCTGGGGAGATAAGAGCCTCCTGGGGTAGAGGAGGCAGGCAGTGAGGTCAGGGCCTGCGCGTGGGGCAGGGGCCGGGCTAGGGGCAGGATCCCAGCGGAAGGTCATCTGCAGCCCTGGCTAATGGGATATCCTGGTGGAAAGCAAGTGGGGATCTAATTAGGGTAAAATCCAGGGCTAATGAGCTGTGGCAACAATGGGACAAAGGAACGATTCCCACAAGCCCAGGATGCGGCTCGGAGAGTCCACCTCAAATCGGCCTCCTTGTCAGCTTTTCTCCCCCAGGGCCCTTCCTGGCTTCCTTCCTCCACCTTCCCTGGCCTCAGGCCTGCCGTGCGGCCACCGTATCCCAGTGTCCATGGCTCCCCGTCAGCTCCAGCTCTGCCTCTCTTCTCATCCCCTTCGTTCTCTTTCCCTCTCCTTGCCCCTGGCTCTTCAGCCCACGTGTCCCTGGCGTCACCCTGCTGTTCTCGGTGTGCCTCGTTTCTTTGTTCTCCTCCTCCGGGAGTGGGAAGAGCTGGGCTCTGGGCTCCCGGGGGTAGGCTGGGTGGCAAAGGGTGAACCTGAAATGGTTGCCTAGGCAATGAGGAAAGTAGGACAAACACCAACCAGCAGTCAGGAGAAAAGAGGAGCCCACGGAGGAGGGGACTGCGTCCCAGCCCAGCCAGGAGACCTCCTTGTTAACCCTCAGCCCCACTGTCCCCAGCCTGGCTCATCCCCAGGAGCTGGTCCAGAAGGAAGCTCGAACATCTCTGCAGGATCTCCCGCCTGGCTCCCTCACAGCCAACATTTGTGCCAGGCCCTTGGGCCAGAGCGATTCCTGGGCCGCCTGCCTCCTCGCTGCGTGGCCTCCTTCTCAGCAGGCCCAGGGCATATTCCTTTTTCCAAAAGACCAGCCCATCAGGGCAGCCCTAGGAGGGCACACGAGCAAGGCCAAGGAGGGCAGGGTCCTCACCAGGGCAGCTCCCTGCTGTTTCTGGCTGGGAAGCAGAGGACCTGCTGCTTCTTGTCGGCACCCATGGCCAATAGGTTTTGTGGAGGAGGAAGGAGGAGCCACGGGGCCTCGTCTGAAGGAAAGGAAACAGGCCTGGGATTGGGAGGAGCTGTGGGGAGGACTTCCAGACGCTTCAGACGTGGAGCCCAGGCTGAATCTCCTCAGTGAGGGCCATGGGTGCCTGGCACAGGAGGCCTTTCCAGGCAGGGAGGGAAAGAGACAAAGTGACTAAGGTCTTGGGACCACGCCATGGTGGTGGAGACAGTGTGGCTCACGCGCTGAGGCCTGAACAAAAAGCCTGATGGGTACAGGTGCCCTTCAGGCCGGAAGGTGGGGGGCGGGGCGGACAGCTGCCCCAGTCCTGAGTCAGGCACTGAGCCAGAGGCCTTGTTTCCCGGGCTCCAGCACAGGCTGCTCTCCTGGGGAGAACGGCAGCACCTTCGGCCTGTACCGTTTAAGCCAGGGGCCCCGCCAGGGTGTGCCCGCAGCCACGCTTGTGCTCTGAGGACTCTCTGTGCACCTTGCCAAAATGGGGTGAGATTATCTGCCCGTGCCACTACCCCTGGCGTCAGGCCTATGAACTCTGCCTGGCAGTGTGGCCATGGCTGTAGGCCAAGCTTTGGACAGGTGTTTCTGCCACCTGGTTGAGGACTTGCTGGGGCTGACTGAGGCCATCACTGACTGCGTGGTAACGGACTCGTTTTGAGCCAGCAGTGAGCTGGGTCCCAGGGGGCTGTAAGGCCTCTGTATGTTTGCCGTGACTCTTGAACTCAAGGACACACCCCTGGGTTCCTCGGGTCCCACTCCTCCCAGTCTCCCATCCCACCCCTGAGCCCAAGGACCCATCCTTCTCAGCACCTAGAACAGACACTGAGTAGGGAACCACAGCCTTTTCCTCCCCAGGGTGGCCTCACTTTGCACCCACTGTCCTGAGTCTGACGTGTTCATAGGGCAGCCCGTTCCTCCAAGCCCACCCTTCACTATACAGTTTCGAACCCAGACCAGATTCCAACCTTAAGCTCTAAGACCCTGGAGCCAGTGAGGCCTGAAGGCCTGAGGAAGGGGCTTCGTGCCCAGCACACAGTTGGTGCCCGTGAAGCATCTGCCTGAATAAACAACAGTCCCACCTCTAGCCTATAAGTCCCTTCTGAATCTCCACCTTTAGCAATGACAGGCTCCATTTACTTCAGAAATACAAGGATGGCTACCTGGTGTTTTTGTCTTCAACACCTGCCTCCCAACTCCATTCCCAGCAAGTTCTAGTTCTCATGACCTCCCTTAGAGATTTTAAATTTTCAACATGAAAGCAGTCACAACCCATTCAAACTGTCACAGAACTAGTAGACTCATATTGCTTTTTGGAACTGGTGAAAGGATTTGATGCCCATTTCTTTTATGCCATGGTCCTACCCCAGCTGTCCCCCCTTGGAAGTAGGAAGCAGAGGGAAGACGGAGCCAGTGTCCTCCACCTGTTTGCAGACGCGCCTGTGCAGGAGGCAGGAGAGACTCCAAGCCCACTACCTACAGAGTCCTGGCTTCTCAAGTAAGGTTAAGTGCAGAGAAGGCACCAGAGTCCCTGGGATCTGCTACTTTAACTGGGGAGACCTGTAAGTAACATCGAATTACTAGGTTCTCTAGTAATCATTTTCCCTCTGAAAAGAATTCAATGCCCATAGGAGATGGAGCTTCCGGTAGCCTGAAGCAGCCCATCTGGGCCTGGATGTTGTTTCGTGTGGAAGATGGTATTTGCATCCTGGGGAAAGCATCTTGGTGTCCAGGCTCTGGCTGTGGGGGTTAGGTGCCTGCAACACCCCCTCTCCCCTGTCATCCCTCCTGAGCCAGGCAGGCCTTCAGCACTCCCTACCACTGAGACTATAGACTGAGAAGTAACTCCCTGTCGCTGGGCCTCCATGATGTCGGTCTTCTGTACCTTACAGGCCTTGCCTCAGTGCTGCCCACCTTCATGTCTGGGAGAGTCTTCATTGATTGCTGGGGACCAAAACCAACTTAGACTAGGGATCCCAGTTCCAGCACCCATGCCCAGGGCCCTTTCTTCCTTTAAAATAGACGGCTGACTCTGGCCCTTCTTCACTGATGGGCGATGGCTTCCTGCACTGCTTTGTTTTCTTCTTCATCCAAGTGTTGTCCTGTGAATCTCAGAGTGTGGTCTTTGGACCAACGGCACCACCGTCACCTGTGAGCTTGTTGACTGCAAATTCTCTGGTTCTACCCAAGACCTGCTGAATCCGAGACTCTGGAGGCATGGCCATGCTATCTGTATTTTAACAAGCACTCCAGGGGATTCACGGGCATGCTTAAGTCTGAGAACCACTGGTGCAGTATATTACCTAGGAGCCCTGAGTAGGACACTTCATTTAGTTTTCTGATCCACACAAGGAGAACCCGTCCGGGCGCATGAGGCTTGCGGGTACAGAGTGTGTCTTCCCAAGGAAGGCAGGCTACCTACCTCCCACGTGTCCGGCATGTAACCCATCAGCTGACTCCTGACAGTGCAGAGGCCAGAGGCCAGACTGGGAATCCACCGAATGCCTCTTCATGAGCTCTTTTCTCCCAGAAGGTGCAGCAGGAATTCAGATGGCTGTAGGCATTGCCATAGCAACTGCACCCCTCCGAAGCGCTTATGGGCTGCAGGAGCACAGTAAGCAGCCCGAAGAGGAGCACGTCTGCCAGTGGTTGAAGCCTCACCAGCAGATGAGAGGGGCTGCGAAGGGAAGAGGAAGCTCAGGGTGGCTGGGACTTATGGACAAGAACTCGGTGGAGCTGTTGCTTCCTCAAGACCCACGATGCATTTGGTAGCCCTCCCGGGGTCCTCCAGCACTGCAAAACAGCGCCAGCCCAGGCTGTGGTGCTGCACGGCAGCCTGGCTCACCCAGGAGTCAGTGATGCTGCAGTTTCTCAAAAAACCGTCTACCTAGGTTAAATTAGCCTGCTCAGTGGTCACAGAGCAATTAAGATGGAAGTGCCCATCTTCCTTCCGTGATGACCACCTGTGTTCCTCGCCAGGATTGAGGAAAGGGACCCAGTTCCAAAGGTCTGACAGGCATGTGGGTCCTAAAGCAGACGCCAACAGTCATGAGGGAGCTCGGGGCTTAGGTAATGGCGGGTTTTCTAGCTCTACGAGAAATCAACCTCAGCAAGAACGGGTATCACCAGAGTGCACCCGGTACCTGAGTGCTGGCCTCAGAGCTGAAAACACAGAGAGTCAGCAGGGGCTTGGGCAGAGAAGAGGGCCCCACGCCCTTGGAAACAGGGAGCTCTGCTTGCCTGAAGAGCCAGAGAGGGGCCACGGTGAGCGCAACTCCGTGGAAAGCTCGTGGGGACACAGTGCCAACCAATGGGAAGATGAGCTATGGGGGAGAAGAGACAGAGAGGAAAGGACGGAAGGTGTGAACACCCACCCCTTCTATTTTACCCTGACTGGGCCTTGGCAGGCTTGCCTGGGACTCCATCCGTGTGCGGCCAGGAGTTGATCCCACCGTCTCTGCACAGACCTCCTCAAAGCCAAGGGCAGGGGTCTGCAGAGGTGGGTGAGGGATGCTGGGGAGCCAGCTGTGGGGCTTCTCGCTTCATTACAGTCACTGCCCTTTATAAATATTTATAGCAGTTCTTCTGCTAAAAATAACATCCTGGAGCCCAGGGAGGAGGAAAAAATAAATGAAAATCACCGGGAACGGGACTTGATCACGTGTGCCCGAGCCCAATCGACCCCTAAGGCGAGAGGCTGCGAGCAGCGCCCCCGGCGGCGCGCCCCCTGGCGGCCACGGAGTCCGCGGCGCAGAGACCCTCCCGCCCTCTCCGAGGAGGCTCAGCCCGGCTGCGGCGCGCGGCTGGGTCTCCGCCCCTCCCTCCCGGGCTGCAGGCGGCGGCATCACACGGGGCGGGCGGAAGCCTAACCAGTGTGAGACTATTTTTAGCACCGTGGCCAGGGTGTGAATGTCTACAGAGCCGAGCAAGGCCTGACGCTTTCTTTGCACGCTGGAAGAAACCTGTTGGTTTTTAAAGGTCAAAGATAAGGAAACTTGTGCCCCCACGTTCAGGAGCACCCCACGTGCTGGCCAGACGCCAGGAAGTGTTTCATCAGGTCACAAACACACAAGAGCTTGGTGCTTTTTCTTTTCTCTTTTCAACCTCCAGGTGAATTCCTGATGCGGAGATGAGACCATGCCCTGAGGGGAGTGATGAAGGTGCTAGTACATGCAGGGCTGTGCAGGGGGAGGCCCACTAGCTGTGCCACGCAGCCCCTCCCCGCTTCCCACCGGCTCTGGCTCCCCTCTCCCTGGCGGGTGGAGTGACGTCTGGCAGCCTGCAAGCCTGGTCCAGGTGTGCGGTGGAAAGATGGAGAGGAATGTGCCTCTGGGGGAAGACCTTGCCTTCGCCATGTCGGCGCCAGCTTGCTCCTCGTCCTCTGTGCCTGCGCAAGACACACTCACCGTTAGTCACGGGCACTGTTGAGGGTTCAGGACAAAAGCTGCTAACATCTACTGTGAACAGGAGGCCCTGCAGGGAGGGGCTGCTAGGATGCTGGGCGCCTTTCAAGCGTTGGGCTGAAGGGTGGTACCTAGGGTCCTCTGCCATCATTCCTAAGGGTCAGGAAGTGTTTCCGTGGAAGAAAGAATTGGGTTCACAATGCAAGGTTTGAATGGGGTGATTTCTTGGGGAGAATTGTGGCCCAGGAGAAGGGCAGGGAGGACTGAGGTGTGCCGATGAATACTAAGAGGAAAGGGAGGAAGCCTCAGCCCCCGGCCAGCAGAGCGCAGGCCTGGGCATCCATGAATCCGCGGCACCCAAGTTTTATACTCTTAGTTTAACTCTCGGCTGTTGGTGTTTCTCATCACCCCTGATGTGGGTCAGAGAGCGCAGGATTAGGAGGCAGAAGACCCGGCTCCAATTCTGCTTCTGGCATGGAGCTTCTGGTGTGGGGCATTGGTTTCCTCCATGTGCAACAAGGCGGTGGGGGCACATGGCTCTGCCACGTTCCCTTGCACCCCAGTTCCTTCTGCCCCGGGGAGAGAGGGGCTCTGGCAGGCTCCTGCAGGGCGAGTCAGTTCCTGATTTCCCTCCTCGGCTGCCACGGCCTAGGCTTGCTTGGGAAAGGGCCTTGCCTGAATGTGCACAGTGAGTTTAGGGAGAAGCCTCTCTCCAAGCCCCTGGGGCGCTGTGATTTCCAGGGCAGCGAGAGAATGTGCGTGGCCCAGGTGCTGCCCTCTCCTCAGCTCGCACAATCCAGAGTCAGCGCAGGCCGAGGCTGCAGGGGCCCCGGGGGAGCGGGCAGAGGCCTTCAATGGCCTGGCGCGGTTGGGCAGAGAGGGCCAGAGGCTATTCCAGGATGACACGACTTGGGAGGGTCTGAAAAAACCCCTTTTCTGGATTGTGCAGCTAGGGCCCTGACTTCTTTATTCGAGGAAGATGCCTAATTTTTAAATATAAGAGGTGGGGGGGTGGGAGGAGGGGAGGGAAGACAAGATTTTAAAATGGAGAAGTCTGATATCTTGGTGCTGGGACTAGAAAGAATTAAGGTGTTGAGCTGGAAAATGGGAATGACTAATTCCTAAAGGCAATGAGCATCTGCCACTGGAGCAGTCCGTACTTTTCTGCATTGCTTCTTCAGGAAGTGAGAAGGTGCAGCTTGGCCGGGCACCATGGGAAGCGGCTTGGTCAGCCCTGTAGTCAGTGTGATCCTGCATGAATCACATGTCTGTGGGTCAGGGACTGTGATTCGGTGCAGTGCTGGGTGACAGAATCCAGGGACGCACTGGCTGTGGTTTGGATCCCAGGAAGGAAGTGGGCAGTGGCTGTGGGAAAGGAGCATGGGAGGCAGTGCTCCCCAGGGAGGTGGCCTTGCTCAGCACACCCTGTTTCAGCCAGCAGTGTCGGGTCTGCCAATGCCATCCCAACACAGAGGACACCAGGCCATGCCCAAGGACCAGGCCTGCAGACAGTGCTGTGCAAGACAGGACACAGCCTAGAAACAGGGCAAGGAGGGCACATGGCTGGGGTGGGCAAAGGGAAGGGACAGTTGGGCTCTTGCATCTTCACCTGTTAGGACTGCCCTGGCTAGGGACCTGTGACTGCAGGAAGGGAGGGGAAGGGAAGATGCTGAGGAAGGAGGGAGGGGCCGTGGGGAGGCAGAGGACTCTTTGTACTCACCTGAGCTTCCTCTGTGTCCGGCTCCTCTGCTAACCTGTGGCAGCATGGGCAGAAACAACACACTGAGGTCACGGCCAGGTCTTCTCATGCCCCAGACTATCTCAAAGGGGCTTCCCTGACCAACCCACCCCAGGGGCTTCCTTGCTTCTCCCGTTACTCGTTTGTTGACTTTTCCCACCCAGGTATGACAGCAGGGTAGAGTCATACTTTCTACTACTGTAGCCAACCCGAGGCAGCCATGGAGACAGATGCTTCTCAGGAGAAGGAAAGTCATTAAAAAATGGAATCAAAACTCCTTAAATCCAGGGAGCAGTTACATGAGGGGGGCAAAGCCCACTCAGCTCTGAAAGTTCCCCAAGGGAACATGACTGCGCCTTGAGTGAGGGCGGTCCCCCTCCTGCAGATGGTCTGCTTTGAAAAGCCCTGCGCTTGCTCACCCGAGGCTCGAGCACTGCCTGGCCCCTCCTGAGCCTGTTCTGTTCTCTGAGGGCCATTGCTGTCCAGCCTTGCACCAGGGCTCTTTATGGATGCAAACTGGATTTACAGCCCCCACACCGGGATGGCAGGGTATGGGAGGGGAGACTGTGAAGGACACAGGAGCATAACATGAGGCTGTGGAGGGTGGAGATGATGTACTATGGGGGAAGGTGTGTTAGTCTGTGCTTCTTCTATGTGTCTTGGTTACACTTCTCTTGAGGAGATGCAGAGGAGGAAGGGTACCCCGATGGAGCAGAAGCATTCCCCAGGATGCAGCCAGCCAGCCAGGGGTGAACAGGGAGAGGCGTGAGGCAGGGGTGAATATGGCAGGGAAGTTCAGCTTGGTCTAGATTCTTCAAAAGTTCCATTTGACTCTCACAGTTTCCTTATCGAGCAGACTATGTTTGCCTGATGGTGCTGACCAAATTCTGTTTATATTACGTCAGTATGGTTTCAACCCCAAAGAAGCAAATATACTCTCTCTCTTTACGGTTGACAGTTACAGATCTCTGGTGTCCAGGTGACTGCAGTTAGTCCTAGGTCTGTAAAATCTCAGGCCTAGCTCATGGCAGAGAATCAGGAGGTCCACCCATAAAAACACTTAGTCTTATAAAAATGCCCATGTATGAGCTACGTTGTAGTTTCAGGGACATATCCTAGAACCTATATAATGTGGAGAGCCAAACATAAAAAACTCTACCATCTCTCACCCCAACTCTTAACACTCTTGGCCTTAGGGATGACACCAGAAAGTCACATACGTAAAAATTCAGGCATTCCCACAAAAAGATTTCACATAGACATACAGACATTCTGGTATATGCACTGAAAGACAGACAAGGAGCTCTAAGGGCAAGAGGCACAGAAAGACAGAAGAGATGCAGACAGGGCAGTGCAGGTGTAAAGACAGTGCCCTGGGGCCTGGAGTGCCGGGAAAGGGAAACCCAGTCTGATGCGAACAGGGCAGTGCACGTGCAGAGACAGTGCCCTGGGGCCTGGAGGCCCGGGCGAGGGAAACCCAGTCTGATGTGGACAGTGGAGTGCAGGTGCAAAGACAGCACCTTGGGACCTGGAGGCCCGGGCAAGGGAAACCCAGTTTGATGTGGACAGGGGAGTGCAGGTGCAGAGACAGCACCCTGGGGCCTGGAGGGCTGGGCAAGGGAAACCCAGTCTGATTCCCATGTGAGGCATGGCCCACACTCAGACTCGAACCAGGATAAGGGCTAGAGTTCGTGGCCAGGGCAAGGCCTCAGTGGCTGGGGCAGTCCTAGGTTTGCTTTGGTGGAGTGAAAAGGACTGAGGAGAGGCCATGGGAAAAAGCTACTGGGGAAGGGAGGGGCAGGTGAAGGGAGGCCAGAGATGCAGCTGTTATGTCTTCAGCCAGGAACATTCCACATGAATGCTAGGATTTGGTTGGCATGTGCATGTGCATGTGCGTGTGCGTGTGTGTGCGCGTGTTTGCAGCATGTGTTTACACCAGTGTAAATTTATCTGTGTATCTCTTCACCTTTTGCCCTCCTGCCTTCTTTCTTGTCTGTGTGGGTAAGTCAATTGTTTCTACATTTCTATGAAGCATTCCTGGATGTCTGAAACACTACTGCTCTCTAATGTGACCTTTTATTTTTATTTTTTAGATAGGGCTTTGCTCTGTTATCCAGGCTGGAATGCAGTGGCGTGACTATAGCTCACTGCAGCCTTAAACTCCTGGGCTCAAGCAGTCCTCCTGCCTCTGCCTCCAAAGCAGCTGGGACTACAGGTGTGCACTACCACATCCGGCTAATTTATTTTTTGTAGAGATGGGGTCTTGCTATGTTGCCTATGCTGGTCTCAAACTCCTGGCATCAAGTGATCCCCCTGCCTCAGCCTCCTAAAGTGCTGGGATTACAGGTGTAAGCCACCATGCCCAGCCTAGTCTGACCTTTTGGTGTCCGTGCCACATATGTCATTCTCATCAACTCGTTGGCGCTGCTGTCCACTTCCTCCCAGGCCTAGCTCAGACTCACTAGACGATTTCAGAATCTGCAGAATCTTCTTCCTCTTCTCCCAGTTTCTTCCTCAGCAATTTCAGGGTCCTTGCTGACAAATTCCTTGCCCCGTGAGACTCCAAAGACGACCCTGTCTTAGCCACTCCAGCCCCTATGGGCCAAGAATGCTCCAGACCCACTGTCCTGTAGGTTTCCCTTTCTTGTCACAGCTTCCTTACCTGTATCTCCCACTTGGCTTCTACCCTTCCTTAAGTAAGACCACTCCACTTCCCTTAGTCTACCAGTTCAGCTCAGACTAAACCATGGGCATTGGAGTTGAACTCAGGCTGTGCCATTTATCAGCTGGCAGGTTCTTTCACTCCCCCGAGCCTTGTTCAGAATTCCTCCCTGGGAGGGCTGCTGCTGGCTCCTCCTCATGCTTCCTGCTCTCCCTACCTTCACCTCCTTGGGGTGACCAGCCATTGCATTTCTCTCCCCGATAAGGTACTCTCTATCTCATCACCCCATTTATTTCCTTTGATTTGTTCATTTATTGACCTCCTACTAAGCACCAGGCACTGGAACACAACATGAACAAAACAGACTAAAATCTCTGCCTTGAGGAGCTGATGTTTAGGAGGAATCCAGCAACTAACACATTAATGCACAACAGAAAGAACAGCTCACCCTCAAATGTCCAAAGAAAATTTTGTTTTCTGTTCAGTATAACATAGAAGGATGAAGATTAAGAGCACGAAGTTTGGAGTCAGAAAGACCCAGTTCTCTGCCTTTTTTTTTTTTTTTTTTTTTTTTTTTGAGACAGAGTCTCTCTTTGTTGCCCAGGCTGGAGTGCAGTTGCGTGATCTTGGCTCACTGCAACCTCTGCCTCCTGAGTTCAAGGGATTCTCCTGCTTCAGCCTCCCGAGTAGCTGCGATTACAGGCATGCACCACCACACCTGGCTTATTTTTGTATTTTTAGTAGAGACAGGGTTTCACCATGTTGGCCAGGCTGCTCTCGAATTCCTGGCCTCAAGTGATCCGCCCGCCTCGGCCTTCCAAAGTGCTGGGATTACAGGTGTGAGCCACCACGTCTGGCCTAAATCTCTGCCGTTTAACAGCTACATGAACAACATCTCTCTGAGCCTATTTCCTCATGGGTAAAATGGGGATATTCGAATCTGTCTCACAGTGTTAAGGATTAGATGAGATCATCATACGTGAAAATCATTCCCTGCAGCTCTTCCCAGATGTCATGTGTTAAGCAGGTTCGATATATAATGAAACTAGGAAGGCACTACTGTCCTTTGCTGACACCTTCCCTTCTTGGTTTTATTCTTCCATGAAGCCACAAAACCATTTGGCTATTCTAGTCCACAACAATCTCTTCCTTTTCAGAAACCCTTATTATACTTATATGCTGAAAGTTTTATGATTAGCTTTTTCTGCCACTTCATTTGATCTATTTATTTTGCATTTTTGGTCTTTTTTTTTTTTTTTTTTGGAGATGGAGTTTCACTCTTGTTGCCCAGGACGGAGTGCAGTGGTGTGATCTCGGCTCACTGCAATCTCTGCCTCCCAGGTTCAAGTGATTCTCCTGCCTCATTCTCCCCAAGTAGCTGGGACTACAGGCGCCTGCCACCACACCTGGCTAATTTTTTGTATTTTTAGTAGAGATGAGGTTTCACTATGTTGGCCAGCCTGCTGGTCTTGAACTCCTGACCTTGTGATCCACCCGCCTCAGCCTCCCAAAGTGCTGGGATTACAGGCGTGAGCCACCGCACCTGGCCTGGTCTTGCTTTATTAACTAGATCATAAACTTCTCCAGTCAAAGGGTCATCTTTTGTGTTCTACTTGTATCTACTTCCTGTATCCCAACTACCTATCCCAGGATCAGGAAATGAGGAAGCTCTTGGTGATCGACTGACCTTGTCACCTGGAAGGTAAAACCTGACTGTCAGATGGGAAAAGTAGGTACAGGGACCTCGGGTCCGAAAGCTCTGGGAAAGGTGGTGGCAGGGAGGAATGCAGAAACAAAGTGGGGGGCGGCTGATCCATGAGCTCGGGCTCCCCATTTAAACGAGCAGTCCTGCTGAGCTGCCTTTACCTCTGTCTTTCCCATTCTGCATCTTCTCTTCTTCTTCCTCTGCACCTTCCTCTGCTGTGAAAACAAGTCCAAGGAGGCCAGTGACCCTTCGGCACAGGACAAGTACAGAAGGAGGGTGAACAAAGCAACTGCTGAGGCTTGGGAGGAAACTCTAGCTAACAGCTCCTGGCTGCAGGCCTCTGAGGGTGCTTCAGCTCACCAGTCTGCACTTGTGCGGCCCACGCCCCAGCACTGCTGAATAGGAGCCCGTAAGACCACAGCCCAAAGGGAGCAGTGCGGTCACATCGCTCACTTTCCTGACCAGGGCTGGGGGCGTGCAGTGTGGGGTTGCGTGCCTCTGTTCTATGCCTGTCTGCCCTCAGGTGGTGATGACCAGGGAGACATCTAATGTCTTGCATTCAGGTTTAAGAAAGTGACCATACAATATATGGTGGGGGAATACCTAGATTAACACGGGGTTCTGTTAAAAAAAAAAAATTCCGTATGTTTTAGCTGATGATAAACTTAAAATGACCGCACAGTGCAAAGTGGCTATGTGGGAAGTGCTAATGCCGTCTAAGGTGCTTTTCCAGGGGACACTCAAGAGGGTCACAGATGCCTTGTGCTCTGCAGGGACAAGATCCCCTGTGATGGAGAGCAGGGTGCTGGGCCCTGGGCATGTACTTTGAATAGGAGCCTTGGAAAATGGCCACATCCTGGTATGGTCAAGCAGGCTGGTAAGAGAAAACCATGTCACGTTTGGAAAGGTTGAAGGAATTGGGTGTAGCAGTCTACAGAGGAGAAAACTAGGAAGGGTTGTCATTTGCCATCCAACCCGTGAAAGGCGAGCCTGCAGAGGAGGGACTGAGCTTATCCTGGGTAGCTTGAGAGGACAGGGATAAATCAGTTACAGAAAGTGAGATTTTGGCTCCCCACTGAGGAAGAAGTTTCCAGTGATTAGAGTTGATCATGAATGAGCTCGCTGGAAATATTCAGAGGACTGTTTTATTGGGTGGCGAGTTGGATTAAATGACTTCTAACATCCTTTACAATTTTTTTCTTTTCTTTTCTTTTTTTTTTTTTGAGATGGAGTTTTGCTCATTGCCCAGGCTGGACTACAGCGGCGCGATCTTGGCTCACTGCAATCTCTGCATCCCAGGTTCAAGCGATTCTCCTGCCTCAGCCTCCCGAGTAGCTGGGATTACAGACATGCACCACCATGCCAGGCTAATTTTGTATTTTTAGTAGAGACGGGGTTTCATCATGTTGGTCAGGCTGGTCTTAAACTCCTGACCTTAGGTGATCCACCTGCCTCAGCCTCCCAAAGTGCTGGGATTACAGGTGTGAGCCACTGTGCCTGTGGCCTCGATCCTTTCCAATTCTAGGATTCGATTATCTGTGAAAAAACTTTATAAAGATGAGGACTACAAGCTATGTATATACAGTATGTATACACTGTATAGAATATATGTAAAGATAATCTGAGTATGTCCTCTCATTGGAACAAAAACCTGTCAAGTCACTGTCAAGGAGACAGTAAAAACATGTTGGTGATGGGTGAAGCTATTCCATTCACTGAGAAATTGGCACCCTCACATGTAAAGGGAGTTTATGTCTGCATGTTAGAGGGATACCGTGCCATGTGTGGCTTTGGTCCACGTCTACCTACAGGCTTCAGTGACTGAGAGGACAGCATCAGGGAAAGGGGCCTCTGGGACTCTGGGTTTGCTATCTTGTCCTGGAGGGGAGTAAGATCTCTGGCTTGATGCTCTGAAGACCCAGGTTCTAGGACCAGCTTTCCCCCTTCAAGCTGCACGACCTTAGGCAGACCACTTTTCTGATAAGCACAGGCTACATCTCTAAAGTAAGGGACTGGACAATGTGCTCTCTAAGGCACCTTCCAAATTACACTACATAATTTTGTTGAAACCATCCTTTCTTACTATGAGACACTGCTGAGGATTCCTATAAGCTTTACATTTTTGTGAAGCTATTTGGTCTCTATGTGCTTTCCACTTAATGGTATTTAATGACCTCTCACCCTAGCACGATGAACGCAGAAGCCACTTATTTTGCATAAACTCTAATAAGTGGCCATGAAGTACAAGTGTAGTTAATTCCCATGGCCCGAAATTCCCTGAGAAATTTCCTCTAAAAGTGGGATTTCTGACATCTGTGGGGAGCTGCATTAGGGAAAGCGCCTTCTAATCACCTGTGAGGTCATCCTGAAGGCTGTCGCCTCTTCTGTTTATGTGTACAGAGCGGGGCCGTGCTTCTGATGGGGGTTGAGAAACAGTGCTAGAATGGAGAGGGTGGCACCATCAAACAAGAGAGGCAGCGTCTGACCTTAACTGACTGGAAAGACGAAGCTGGGCTATACACTCACTTTGGTCTGTATGAAAACAGGCAGACTTGAGAGCAGAGCTGGGGGCTCTGTCCAGTCCCATGACAACCCTAAACATGTGAGCTTTCTCCTACGAAGGGCTGAAAAATACCCAAGGCTTGCCTTCCCTAAGAGTGTTTGAATAAGTGTATGTGTTTGAATCGTCCGTGGAAAAACTGCTTTATCTTTTTATTTAATAATCCTGTTAAGCTACTTCAAGGTATTTAAAAGCACTACATTAGGTGGAAAGAAACAAAAGAGAGCCATCAGTGTGAGTGACCTACAGCGCTTAGGGAGGGAAACCATTAGTTTAACACAAAACATGGAGACCCCACCGCTGTGAAATCGTTAGTGACTCTCTGGCCCCTACGTAACTGGTAGAGTCATGGGGATTCCTGGAGATAGGAGGATACGTGAATGGCCTTTTATTTTCTCTCTCTTTCCTGGGTTTTATGTAAGGTGAAATGCCACGAGGTAAAGGTCTTTGGGAAGTCACTGAATTGGTGAGGTGATGGAGAGACTGAGAAAGAAGTCACAGATGAGCTGAACACAAGGAGCAGAAGAGGCGACAGACTCAGGTCATGAACTTCAGGTGAAATCAGAGCCTGGTCACGGACAAAAGGAGGGAATAGGTTTCAAAAACAAATCAAACAGGAGAGAGCAGAAAGGCAGCAGGGGAAGGTCCAGAGCTTTCCTGGCTGATTCCGCTCCAGACCTCCAGGGAAGTTTCAGAATGAGGTGGTCGGTCAGGCCTAGGGAGAGAGCGGCTGTGGACAAAGTACAGATGGAAGACGAGGTAAGTGAGGAAGGGGCCTGCCTGCACTGAAAGGTCTGAATTTCTCTACATTCAGCTTGCTCCACAAGATGCACTCCTGAGATAGGCCTGAATGTGAAACCGCCCCTACGCGATCCTGTGTGACAGAGGCTCTCTGGGTGGAGACATCCAGTGTGTTCCTAGAAGGCAAAGTTAGGTGATGAAATGGGGTGGTGCAAGCTGGGTGGTGAGGTTCTGCCGGTGCTGGCAAGGAAGTGAGAAGGGCGCGGGCAAGGCAGGGGAGGCCAGGAAGCTGGCTGGGAGCTCTGGGTTTCACCTGAATGGAGCTCCTTCACCAGGGATGACATGGTGTTGGTGATGGAGTCAGCTGCCACCAGCAGGTCATTGCGGAGGTTTCTCCTCGTACCTGAGGAGAGGCAGAGCAGATGGGGATGCCAGGGTGGGTGAGCGTGGAGAAGAGACGGCTGAGCAAATGCCTCAGTTCTGCCAGGCCCGAGAACACAGGTGTGGAACACCTAAGGGGAGATGGGGCCACAGCAGCTCCACCCATTCCCAGGCACACCGGGGGCAGGAGGCACCAGCCCACTGGTCCCTCTCCCTCTGCCCTCTCTACCTAGGGAGCAGCATCCTGTCAACTCCACGCTTTGCCGCCACCACACAATCCAGAGCTGGGTTCCAGAATAAGCATTCCACCGAGGTCTTCCTCAGCCTTGTGGGGGTGGGGCTGTACTCTCCACAACCACCACTACCACCTCCCCTTCTCACCTCCAGCCCCAGCAGGACTTCCCTCTGAATCCCCACCCAACTACTTAATACTGCTGGTCACCAGCTCCCCCGATGACTGTGACAATGGCGTGCATACTGTGCTTTCAGCACGGTCCCAGTTACAGTGCCTGTTACAGTCCCTTCTAGGCCAGGGAATTATTCCATCCAATTCCTCTGGAGGAGACAAAGCCCAAAGGACAAAGCACTTCCAATAATCCAGAAAAAAGGGCAGAGAACCCCAGGAGGCCTGTTCTTGGCACACATAGGAAGCCTGCAGCCCTCCCGCTGGAGACCAGCCCGTCTCATGAGAAGGGGCCAGCACCTGACTTATTTACACTGTCTGTCAAAATCTGATCATTCCAAGCAAAGAGCACAAAACAGAAATGGAAAAAACCTCAGCAGGAATCTTGTCCGTGTTTGCACATCCCTTCAGCTCCCCGCTGAACTCTGCTCCAGAAACTCACCTTGTGCGAAGGCCTCCTGCACGTCTCCCCCGACTCCGCTCAGCGAGTCCTGCGGACAGTGGGTGGGGGTGGAGCCGGCAGACGTGGAGCGCACTGGCATGGGCATTGGCCGGCCGCCTCCATGGGTGGGCGATGTATGTGGTGACCCTGTGGCCTGAGCCTGGAGATTCAAAGACAGAAAATACGTTATCTCAAGTACCTGACCTCTTTGAGGAAGGAAGAAAGTACTTTTTCTCCATCAACCAGAGCCAGCCAGTGGGCCTCAGTTCAGTGGTACAAGATCATACTTGAAAGGAAGGAGTTAGGCTGCTTCCAAGACTGGAGAGAGGAAGAAAAGGAAAA